>NC_000006.12:99767759-99919274 GCF_000001405.40 Homo sapiens
CTGTTTAGCTAAAACCTGTATTCTATATATTTTGCATGTAATTTGCATAAATTCTGTGTATTTTGCATTTCCATATATATTTTAGATTGAGCTTGTCAATTTCTGCAAAAAAAAAGTCCCTCAGATTTTGGTTAAGACTGTGTTAAATCTATAGATCAATTTGGGAAAAATTGACAGCTTAACAATATTGAGTATTTTTAAGAATTAACCCATGAATATGGCTTAATTCTTCATTTAGGCCTTCTTTAATGTCTCTGAGCAATATTTGTAGTTTTAAATGAACAGGTTTTGCACCACGTTTGTCAGTTTTATCCTTTAATATTTCATATTTTAATGGCTTTGTAAATGGAGGTATATTTTAGTTTAAATTTCTCAATTATTTATTTTGCTAGTACAGGCAAACCTTGGAGATATTGTAGGTTCAGTTCCATACCATCACAATAAAGCCAATATTGCAATAAAGCAAGTCACACAAATTATTTGGTTTGCAAGTGCATATAAAAGTTACATTTATACTATAGTCTATTAAGTGTGCAATAGCATTATGTTTAAAAACAGTGTACATAGTTTAATTTTAAAATACTTTATTGCTAAGAAATGCTGACACAGAGATATGAAGTGAACACATGCTCTTAAAAAATGTTGATAGACTTGCTCAGTGGAGGGTTGCCACAAACCTTCAATTTGTAAAAAAAATGCAATATCTGCGAAGTGCAATAAAGTGCAATGAAACAAGATAAACCTGTGTATATAAAGGCAGTTGATTTTCCTATCTTGAACTTGTGATCCTACAACCTTGCTAAATTCATGTATTAGTTCTAATCACTTTTTGGAGATGCCATTTTACATAGACAACACACTATCTACAAATACAGTTTCACTTTTTTTCTTTTTAATCTGGATGCCTTCCCTCCATTCCTCTCTCCTTTCCTTCCTTTTTTTTTTTTTTTTGGTCTTATTGTACTAGCCAAAACCTCCAGTACAATATTGAATATTGAATAGAAGTGGTGAGAGAAAATGTCTGTTGTTATTCCTGTATTAGGGACTAAACATTCAGTATTTTACCATTAAATATAATACGAGCTGTAAGTTTTTTGTGGATGCCCTTATCAGGCTGAGGAGTTGCACTTTTATTTCTAGTTTTCCAGTAATCAAGAATGGATGCTTTTTTTTTTTTTTTGAGACCGAGTCTCACTCTGTCTCCAGGCTGCAGTGGAGTGGCACGATCTCGGCTCACTGCAAGCTCCACCTCCTGGGTTCAAGCGATTCTCCTGCCTCAGCCTCCCGAGTACCTGGAACTACAGGCACCTGCCACCATGCCCGGCTAATTTTTGTATTTTTAATAGAGATGGGGTTTCACCATGTTGGCCAGGATGGTCTTGATCTCTTGACCTCATGATCCGCCTGCCTCGGCCTCACAAAGTGCTGGGATTACAAGCATGAGCCACCGCTCCCGGCCAAGAATGGATGCTTTATATGTAAATACATACTTACAGCCATGTTTAATTAGTCAATATGCTAAATTTATTGTTTAATTTTTGTATAACCAAGTGTATACATTGTATAATACAGTGCATAATTGTATAACCAAGTGTGCGTTCTTATGATAAACTCCATTATGATGTATTATTCTTATTATGTTGTTGGATTCAACTTGCTTAATTTGTTCAGAATTTTTGCGTCTAATTTTATGAGGGAGATTGGTCTGTAGTTTTCTTTTTTAGTAATGTCTTTGTGGTTTTGATAACAAGGTAATGTTGGTGTTACAGAATGAATTGGAAAGCATTCCTTCTTTAACAATATTCTGGAAGCGTTTGTTTATACTTTCTCCTTAAATGTTTCATGGAATTCACATTCAACTCATCTTTTTGGGAAGATTTTAAACTACAAATTCAATTTGTTAACAGATAGAGTTATTTAGATTATGTATTTCTTCTTTTAATCTTTTTATTTTCATCCACCTTTTTTACTGAAATCTTACTTGCATACTACAAAATTTACCTCTTTAAAGTGTACAAATTGGTGGATTTATACACACTAAGTTGTACAACAATCATCACTACTTCCAGAACACTTTTATTACCCCAAAAAGACACCCCACATCCATTATCAGTCAGATTCCATTCTTCCTTCCCCTCCAACTTTTGCAGACCACTAACCTATTTTCTGTCTTTATGGATTTACCTCTTCTGGAGAGTTCATATAAATGGAATGATATACTATGTGGCATGTTTTCTGCCTGTATTCTTTCATTTAGCATAATGTTTGCAAGGTTTATCCATATTTCAGCCTGTGTCTGTACATCATTCTGTTCTATGACTGAATAATATTTCATTGTATGGATATACTATATTTTGTTTATCCATTCGTCACTTGGTATATATTTGGGTTGTTTCTTCTTTATTTGGCCTACTGGTCTGTAAATCTCCATTCATTTCTCTTCATTTTTTTTCTGCTATTCTTTAGATTGGATAATTTCAATTATCCTAGCTTCAAGTTCACTGATTCTTTTGCCTGTTTAAATCAGCTCTTGAGCTTCTCTGGTGAATTTTTCATTATTGTTATTGTACATTTCAACTGTGGAATTTCTATTTGGTTGTTTTTCTTAAGAAATAATTTCAGCTGGGTGCAGTGGCTCACACCTATAATCCCAGCACTTTGGGAGGCCGAGATGGGTGGATCACGAGGTTAGGAGATCAAGACCATCCTGGCTAACACGGTGAAACCCCGTCTCTACTAAAAATACAAAAAATTAGCCGGGCGTGGTGGCGGGTGCCTGTAGTCCTAGCTACTCGGGAGGCTGAGGCAGGAGAACGGTGTGAACCTGGGAGGCAGAGCTTGCAGGCTTGCAGTGAGCCAAGATCGCACCACTGCACTCCAGCCTGGGCAACAAAGCAAGACTCCATCTCAAAAAAAAAAAAAAAAAAAAAAGAGAATTTCCACCTCTTTATTGATGTCCTGTCTTGATGATGAGACATTGTTTTTGGACTTTCCTTTAGTTCTCTAGACATGGTTTTATTTAATTCTCTGAACATCTTTCATATAGCTGATTTAAAGTCTTTGTCTAGTAAGTCCAACATCTGGACAGGAATAATTTCTACTCATTGCTTTCCCTCTAGCTCCCTGCTTATAGGCCATAAGTTCTTGTTTCTATGAATGTCTTGTACTTTTTGTTGAAAACTATACATTTTAAATAATGAAATGAGGCAATTTGGGAAATTAGATTCTCTTCTCTCACCAGGGCTTGCTGTTATCGCTGCTTGTTTAGTGGTTTTATGAACTAATTCTGAAACGAATTTTATTCTTTGTCAAGTATGTCCCCTGAAATCTCTGCTCAGGTTAATTAGCAACTAATGATCAAACTGTGATTTTTAAAAAATGCCTGGAATCTCTTGTCTTTACTGGGGGATTCTGTGTTCATGTTTGGGCATAGATTTATCACTCAGCCAGGGAATTTGCAGTTGTGTCTTCATGTTTACTTCTTGTTGTGCAGAGTCTCTCTCGAGTCTTTCCTGAACATGCACACAGCCCTGGGCATGTGCACAGCTTTACACATGTGCATGACCTTCTTGATCCTCTGGCATATGGCAAAGCTTTTCAAAGCCCCTTGTGTTAGTTTGCTAAGGCTGCTATAACAAAATGCTACAGACTGGGTGGCTTAAACAACAGAAATTTATTTTCTCACAGTTCTGGAGACTAGGATTCAAGATAAAAGTGTTAGCAGGTTTGGTTTCTCCTTAGGGCCCTCTTCTTGGCTTTCAGATGGCCACTTTCACTAAGTTCTCACATGGCCTTTTTCTCTGTATGTGCACATCCCTGATGTCTCTTCTCTTATAAGAAAACCAGTTACATTGTAACAGGGCCCCTACAATGACCACCCTATTTAAACCCAATTTAGTCTGTAAAGGTCGTATCTCCAAATACAGTCACATTCTAAGGCACTGGGGGTTAGGACTTCAACATAAGAATTTGGGGTAAAAACAATTCAGTCTCTAACACCCTTTATGGACGTATCACTCTCCAATTTTTCCCTTTAAGCTTTTTGGCTGGCATATTGTTTGCCCCAACTATAATCTACCATGTCAGGCAGCCATGATATCAAACAATTGCTGCTTTTTTTTTTTTTTTTTTTGACAAACACCTTGGAGAAAAGGCTGTTTTCAGTAGCTCTGAGTCAGGTCAAATAAAGACAAGCCTCATGAGTGAGGTCTCCAGGGTACCACCAGACAGGTAAAATAATAACACTTCTCTGAAAGAGGGCTTTAGAGAAGCTCCAAATCTATTCTTTTCCCTCAAGTGACTTTGTGATTGTGGCTGTTAATTTTCAAGACTACAGCAGAACAGGATAGAGGTGGAGGAAAATAGAGTAAGTTTAAATGCCGCAAAACTCACTGTTCTTGCTGGTATTCAGCTTTCTTTTGAATAAATGCTCTGAAGACTATGGTAAGTCTTTAGTTAATTTCTAGAGTTCTGAAATGTTAATTCTGAAATATAAATTTTTGCCAGTATTCTCATTACTTTTATGGAGGAGAAGATTTTTAGAAGTTCTTATTCCCTCATTCCCACTGACTTCCTATGTATATTTTCTGGAGTGAGATTTTATAGTTTGTGTCTTTCAAATAATATGTAATATGTCCGTTTCATCCATGTTGTCAAATTATTGGGATAAAGTTGTTTTATACTCTTCCCCTATTATCCTTTATATTAGAATTAGTAGTGATTTTAGCTCTCATTCCTGTCTTTGTTATTTTTGTTACTGTTCAACGTAGCTTGAGGTTTCTCAATTCTTAAAAATATTATATTCTCAAGCAGCCTTTAGCTTCACGAATTGTCTCTATTCTTTTCTGTTTTATGTGTCTTGGTTTCTGATGTAATTTGTATTTTTTCTTTTCTTTCACTTAATTAGGGTTTAATTTGCTTCTTGTAGTCTCTTAAGGTGGAAGTTGAGATCTTTCTTTTTTCTAGTGTAGGTAGTTATTGCTTTAACTTTCCTCTATGTGCTACTTTAGCAGCATCCAAAACTTAGATATGTTGTGTTTTCATTTATATTTAGTTTAAAATACTTTCTAATTTCCATTTTAATTTTTTTCTTTGACCCCTGGATTATTTAGAAGTATATTATTTAGTTGCCAAATGTTTGAGTATTTTAAAAGACATTTTCTTGCTATTGATTTGTAATTCCATTGTTCTTAAAGAGTATACTTTATCTGATTTGAATCATTTTATATTTTACAAGACTTACATTATGGCCATTATATTAGTCCATTTTGTGTTGCTATAGAGGAATGCATGAGGCTGGGTAATTTATTTAAAAAAGATGTTCACCTGGCTCACAGTTCTGTAGGTTGAACAAGAAGGATGGTGCCAGCATTTGTTTCTGGTGAGGACCTCAGGAAACTTTTACTCATGGTAGAAGGTGAAGAAGGAGTAGGCATGTCAGATGGTGAGAGTGGGAACATGAGGGAAGGGAAGAAGTGCCAAGCCATTTCTTAACAATCTATTGTGAATTAATAAAGTGAGGACTCACTCATTACCATGAAGGGTGCACCAAGCCACTCATGAGGGATCCGCCCTCATGACCCAAACACCTCCCACTAGGCCTCACCTCCAACATTAGGGATGATATTTCAACCTGAGATTTGGAAGGGACAAATATTCAAGCTATATCAGCTCTGACTATGGTTTATCTTAATAAAAGTTCTGAGTGCATTTGCAAAGAATGTGTATTCTGCTATTGTTATGTGGGTGTTTTATGAATGCCAATTAGGTGAAGTTTTTTGATAGTGTTGTTTAAAATCTTTTTACCCTTCTTGATTTTCCTGTCTACTTGTTCTGCCAATTATTGAGAGAAGTGTTTTGAAATCTCTGACAGATTGCAGGGTTGTCTATTTCTTCTTACAGTTTTATCAGTTTTGCTTTACGTATTTTGAAACTATTGTTAGATGCATGAATGTTTAGAATTTGTATATATTCTTGATCAATTGACTGCTTTATGCTTTTTGTTAGAATATTGTTTGCCTCACCTGTAATCTACTGTGGACCCTCTTTATCTTTGGTAACACTTGTTGTTCTGAAATTTATATTGTTACTATCAAAATAGCCACACTAGATTTATTTCCATTAGAATTATCATGATATATCATTTTCCTTGGTTTTACTTTTTTTAAAATTTTATGTTTGGAAGTACATGTGCAGGTTTGTTATATAGGTAGACTTGTGTCATGGGGGTTTGTTGTACTAATTATTTCATCACCTAAGTATTAAGCCTAGTACTGATTTGTTATTCTTCCTGATCCTCTTCCTCCTCCTACCATCCACCTTCTGGTAGGCCCCCGTGTTTGTGGTTCCCCTCTTTGTGTCCATGTGTTCTCATCATTTAGCTCCTACTTGTATGTGAGAACATGAAGTATTTGGTTTTCTGTTCCTGCATTAGTTTGCTAAGGATAATGGCCTCCTGCTCCATCCATGTTCCTGCAAAGACATGATCTTGTTCCTTTTTATGGCTGTGTAGTATTCTATCGTGTATATGTACCACATTTTCTTTATCCAGTCTACCATTGGTGGACATTTAGATTGATTTCATGTCTTTGCTATTGTGAATAGTGCTATAATGAACATACATGTGCATGTATCTTTATGATAGAACAATATATATTCCTTTGGGTATATACCCAGTAATGGGATTGCTAGGCTAAATGGCAGTTCTGTTTTTAGATCTTTAGGAATTACCACACTGTTTCCCACAATGGTTGAACTAATTTACACTTCTACCAACAGTGTATAAGCATTCCTTTTTCTCTGCAACCTCGTCAGCACTTGTTATTTTTTGACTTTTTAATAATAGACATTCTGAGTGGTGTGAGAAGGTATCCCATTCTGGTTTGGATTTGTATTTCTCTAATGATCAGTGATATTGAGCTCTTTTGCCTGTGCTTTCTAGCTGCACATATGTCTTCTTTTGAAAAATTCTGTTCGTGTCCTTTGCCCACTTTTTAATGGGATTTTTTTCTTTGTAGATTTATTTAAATTCCTTATAGATGCTGTATACTAGATCTTTGTCATATGCATAGTTTGCAAAAATTTTCTCCCACTCTTTAGGTTGTCTGTTTACTCTGTTGAGAGTTTCTTTTGCTGTGCAGAAGCTCTTTAGTTTACTTAGATCCCATTTGTCAACTTTTGTTTTTGTTGCCCATTGCTTTTGGCATGTTTGTTATGAAATCTTTACTTATTCCTGCATCCAGAATGGTATTGCCTAGGTTGACTTCCAGGGGTTTTATAGTTTCGGGTTTTACATTTAAGTCTTTGATCCATCTTGAGTTGATTTTTGTATATGGTGTAAAGAAGGGGTCCAATTTCAATCTTCTGCATATGGCTAGCCAGTTATCCCAGCAACATTTATTGAATAGAGACTCCTTTCCCCATTGCTTGTTTTTGTCAACTTTGTCAAAATCAGATGGTCATAGGTGCATGGCCTTATTTCTAGGTTCTGTATTCTGTTCCATTGGTCTATCTGTCTGTTTTTGTACCAGTACCATACTCTTTTGGTTACTGTAGACCTGTAGTATTCTTTGAAGTAATGTAGTATGATGCCTCCAGCCTTGTTTCTTTTGCTTAGGATTGCCATGGCCATTTGGACCTATTTTTGGTTCCATAAGAATTTTAAAGTAGTTTTTTCTAGTTCTGTTCTCATTTGTTTCAAAGAACTTCTTGATTTCTGCCTTAATTTCATTATTTATCCAGGAGTCATTCAGGAGCAGGTTGTCAAATTCCATGTAATTGGCGGTTTGGTAGGAATTGCATTGAGTTTTTAAACTGCTTTGAGCAGTGTGGCCACTTTTATAATACTGATTCTTCCTATCCATGAGCATGGTATGTTTTTCCATTTGTTTGTGTCATCTCTGATTTCTTTGAGCAGTGTTTTGTAATTCTCATTGTGGAGATCTTTTACCTCCCTGATTAATGTATTCCTAGGTACTTTATTCTTTTTGTGGCAATTGTGAGTGAGATTGCATTTGTGAATTGGCTCTCGGCTTGGCAATTGTTAGTGTATGGAAATTCTAGTGATTTTTGTATGTTGATTTTGTGTCCTGAAACTTTACTGGTTGTTTATCAGCTTACAGAGCTTTTGGACCAAGACTATGCAGTTTTCTAGATATAGGATCATGTCATCTGCAAACAAGGATCGTTTGACTTCCTCTCTTCCTATTTGGATGCTCTTTATTTCTTTCTCTTGCCTGGTTGCCCTGGCCAGAACTTCCAATACTATGTTGAATAGGTGCAGTGAGAGAGGGTATCCTTGCCTTGTGCTGATTTTCAAGGGAAATGCTTCCAGCTTCTGCCCATTCAGTATGATATTGGCTGTGACTTTGTCATATATGGCTCTTATTATTTTGAGGTATGTTCCTTCAATAGCTACTTTATTGAGAGTTTGTAACATGAAGGGATGTTGAATTTTATCAAAGGTTTTTTTCTGCATCTATTGAGATAATCGTTTGGTTTTTGTCTTTAGTTCTGTTTATGTGATGAATTACATTTATTGATTTGCATATGTTGAACCAACCTTGCTTCCTGGGGATGAAGCCAACTTGATCATGGCAAATAAGCTTTTTGATGTGCTGTTGGATTTGGTTTGCCAGCATTTTATTGAGGATTTTTACATCAATATTCATCAGGAATATTGGCCTGAAATTTTCTATTTTTGTTTTACCTCTGCCACATTTTGGCATCATGATGATGCTGACCTCATAAAGGGAGTTAGGAAAGAGTTCCTCCTTTTCAATTGTTTGGAATAGTTTCAGTAGAAATGATAACAGCCCCTCTTTGTACCTCTGATAGAATTCAGCTGTAAATCTGTCTGGTCCTGAGCTTGTTTTGGTTGGTAGGTTATTTATTACTGCCTCAATTTCAGAACTCATTATTGGCCTATTCAGAGATTCAAATTCTTCCTGGTTCAGTCTTGGGAGGGTGTATGTGTCCAGGAACATATCCACTTCTTCTAGATTTTCTATTTTGTGCATAGAGGTGTTTATAGTATTCTCTGATAGTTGTTTGTATTTCTGTGGGGTCAATGGTGATAACTCCCTTATAATTTTTGATTATGCCAATTTGATTCTTCTCTCTTTTTTATTAGTCTAGCTAGTGGTCTATTTATTTTATTAATTTTTTCAAAAAACCACCTCCTGGATTCGTTGATTTTTTGAAGGGTTTTTCATGTCTCTATCTCCTTCAGTTCCGCTCTGTTCTTGCTTATTTCTTGTCTTCTGCTAGCTTTGGGGTTTGTTTGCTCTTGGCTCTCTAGTTCTTTTAGTAGTGATATTAGGTTGTCAATTTGAGATCTTTCTAACTTTTAGATGTGGGCAGTCAGTGCTATAAATTTCCATTTTAACACTGCTTTAGCTGCAGCCCAGAGATTCTGGTACGTTGTCATTTTGTTGTCATTGGTTTCAAAGAACTTCTTGATTTCTGCCTTAATTTCATTATTTATGCAGGAGTCATTCAGGAGCAGGTTGTTAATTTCCATGTAGCTGTGTAGTGTTGAGTGTTTCTTAATCTTGAATTCTAATTTGATTGTGCTGTCTGAGAGACTGTTATGATTTCAGTTCTTTTGCATTTGCTGAGGAGTGTTTTACTTCCAATTATATGATCAATTTTAGAGTAAGTGCAATGTGGCAATGAGAAGAATATATATTCTGTTGTTTTTGGGTGGAGGGTTCTGCTGATATCTATCAGGTCCACTTGATCCAGAGCTGAGTTTAGGTCCTGAATATCTTTGACTTTATCACTGAGACATTTCTGTCTCGATGATCTGTCTAATACTGTCACTGGGATGTTAAAGTCTCCCACTTTTATTGTGTGAGAGTCTAAATCTCTTTGTAGGTCTCTAAGAACTTGCTTTATGAATCTGAGTGCTCCTGTATTGAGTGCAAGAAGTACAAGCTCTTCTTTTTGAATGGAACCCTTAACCATTATGTAACGCCCCCCCTGCCTCCGCCTTTTTTTTTTTTTTTTTTTAACCTTTGTTGGTTTAAAGTCTGTTTTTTTGGAAACTAGGATTGCAACTCCTGCTTTTTTTTCTATTTTCCATTTGCTTGGTAAATTTTCCTCCATCCCTTTGTTTTGAGCCTATATGTGTCTTTGCAATTGAGATGGGTCTTTTGAAGACAGCATACTGATGGGTCTTGGCTCATTATACAGCTTGCCATTCTGTGTCTTTTCATTGGGGCATTTAGCCCATTGACATTTAAGGTTAATATTGTTATGTGTGAATTTGATCTTGTTATCATGATGCTAGCTGGTTATTTTGCAGACTTGTTTATGTGGTTGCTTCATAGCATCATTGGTCTGTGTACTTCAGTGTGTTTTTGTAATGGCTGGTAATAGTTTTTCCTTTCTATATTTAGTGCTTCCTTCAGGAGCTCTTGCAAGGCAGGCCTGGTGGTAATGAATTCCCTCAGTATTTGCATATCTGAAAAGGATCTTATTTCTCCTCCAATTATAAAGCTTAGTTTGGCCAGATATGAAATTCTGGGTTTTGGGAGGCTGAGGAGGGCAGATCACTTGAGCCCAGGAGTTTGAGACCAGCCTGGGCAAGATGGAGAAACCCCATTTCTACAAAAAATTATGAAAAACTAGCCAATGCGGTGGTGCTGCACATTTGTAGTCCCAGCTACTTAGGAGGCTGATGTGGGAGAATAACTTGAGGCTGGGAGGTTGAGGCTGCAGTGAGCTGTGATTGTGCCACTGTATTCCAGCCTGGGTGACAGAATGAGATGCTGTCTGAAAAAAAAAAATAGAATTTCTGGGTTGGAATTTGGAACTTCTTTGCTTTAAGAATGTTGAATATTGGTCCCCAATCTCTTCTGGCTTGTGGGTTTCTACCGAGAGGTCTGCTGTTAGTGTGATGGACTTCCTTTTTTAGGTGACCTGACCTCTCCCTCTAGCTGCATTTAGCATTCTTTCTTTCATTTAGTCCTTGGAGAAGCTGATGATTATATGTCTTGGGGATGATCTTGTTGTGAAGTATCTTCCTGAGGTTCTCTGGATTGCCTGAATTTGAATGTTGGCCTCTCTAGCTAGGTTGGGGAAATTCTTATGGATAATATCCTGAAATATGTTTTCCAAGTTGCTCCCATTCTCCCATTTCTTTCAGGGGCACCAATGAGTCATAGATGTGGTCTCTTTACATAATCCCATATTTCTCGTACGTTTGTTTATTCCTTTTCGTTCTTTTTTCTCTACTCTTGTCTGTCTTATTTCTTAAAGCAGCTCTTCAAGCTCTGAGATTCTTTCCTCAGCTTTATCTATTTTGCTTTCAATTCTTGGGATTGCATTATGAAATTCTTGTATTGTGTTTTTCAGCTCTATCAGGTTAGTTACATTATTTCCTATATGGGTTATTTTGTCTGTCAGATATCGTATCATTTTGTTGTGATTCTTACCTTTCTTGAATTGGGTTTTAGTGTACTCCTGCATCTCAATGATCTTCATTCCTATCCATATACTGAATTCTATTTCTGTCATTTCAGCCATCTCAGCCCAGTTCAGAACCCTTGCTAGAGAGGCAGTGTGGCCATTTGGAAGAAAGAAGGCAGTCTGGCTTTTTGAGTTGTCAGAGTTCTTGCACTGGTCCTTTCTCATCTTTGTGGGCTGGTATTCCTTCATTCTTTGAAATTGCTTTCCTTTGGATGGGTTTTTATCCTTTTATCCTTTTTGATGACCTTGAAGGTTTGATTGTAGTATAAGGTAGGTTCAGTTTGTTGGCTTCATCTGTAAGATTTTGGAGGCCCAAGGCTTAGCTCCCAACTGCATGCTCTAACTCTGGGTGACTTGTATCTGTCCTTGACTTTGTTCTCTAGTTCCTTGAGCTTAGAAACCCACAGTGGTGGGGGGAGAAGGTGCTCTCAGACTACTGGTCACTACATTTTGATGGGTGGTGGCAGCCAAAGTGTTTTATAGAGTGGTGGCAGCAGCATCCATCCTTGTTCGCATGTGTTAGCAGCAGCGGCAGTGGCAGTGCAGCGGGGCACACACTTGTCGGCTGCAGTGGGGTGCTAGCGGGTGCTGGGGTGTCTGCCCCTGTGCAGGCATTCACAGCAGCAGTGGAAGCAGCATGGCCTGGGGTGGTTGGGGGCGCCTGTTGGTGACTGTGTGTGTGGTTACACTGGTGGTGGTGCTAGCACAGGGGTGGGGACCTGGCAGGGGCAGGTCTGTATGTGCCTTTCTCTCTAGCTGCATTTGGCATTCTTTCTTTCATTTAAAGAAATGTAGGGGAGGGTTTGCTGTTCTTCATGCCTAGTTTCACTGGTGGCAGTGCTGGCTCTGGGGTGGGGCGCTTGTGCAGGTGGGGCTGGCTGGCTCTGTGTCCACCAAGGCTATGGCTGCAATGGTGGTATAGCAGGCAAGGGGGAGTGGGGTGCAGTCCCACTGGAAGCAGAGGCAGGGTGGGGTGGACATGCACATGTGCACTGGTAGGGCAGGGAAGGCAAAATCCACCCATGCACACACAGCCCAGCAATGAAATGTGAGAGGTGGCTGTGGACTCAGGGAAGCTGTAGTGTGGGGAGAGAGTGGGTAGGCTGATGTGTGGCCACAGGGGCTGGAGCTGGAGCTCTATGCCAGCACAGGAGCTATGATGTGGACCCTCGGGGCACCAGATGCTGCACTGCAAGCAGGTGTGGCCAGGCTGGGCCCTTGGAAGAGCCCAGCAGACCAAGGGGTGCTCAGGTCAGACTGGCCCTATCTGATGGCCAAGACCGCCCTGCAGAGCTCAGGTTGGACAGTTTTTCTGGGGCTAAAGTCTCCTATGGGAGCAAGTTGAGCCTTGGGGAATGGGTGTCCCTGGTCATGCTCTGCTACAAAGCTCCTGCACCAAACCCTCTGGGCTCTACATTGGCTGGCATGCTGCCCCTACCACTTCTCTGAGCAGTTCTCCCTGCTGGCTCAAGTGTCTGTAATAGTTAAGGAGTCTCCTCATGCCGGGATTCCGGAGGCCTGTGGTGAGAGTGGGTTGCTCCTTGCCAGCTCAAGTCACCCATTCCCCTGGAGTCACTGGGGGCCAAGAATGAGTCCCATTGCACGGTAGCCCCATGCAGGGTTCCCACTTCAGTTCAGCTCCTGTGTCTTCCCTCTATCCACTCCCTGCCTTCCCTCTGAAGATCTGTTAGGAGTGCACCAGCCGTCCTGTTCCCTCGGTAGCAGCTGTTCTACCTCAGTAGCGGCTGCATCTAGTTGTCCATCTTGCCAAATCTCCCTGGTTTTATTTTAACCTATTTGCGTCTTTATATTTGAAGTTTGTTTCTTGCAGGCAGCATATAGTTCGGTCTTATTGTTTTAAAAATCTAATTTGAAATCTCTGCTTTTAATTGGGATGTAGACTTTTTACGTTTAATGTAATTAAATGTAATTATTGATATGGTTAGGTTTAAATCAATTTCTTTGTGTTTGTTTTCTATTTGTCCCATGTGTTCTCTGTTTCCATTTCCCCTTTTGACTGTCTTCTTTTGGATTAAAAGAATATTTTTATATTTAGTTCATTTAGTTCAGTTTTTCTGTGTTTTAATAGACAGTTTTAAGTTTTAAACAGAAAGTATATATGCCAAATGTTAGGTTGACAAATTAATTGACCATAATTGTCAAAATTGCTGGTTATTAATTTATTTTTAGTTTTGGTGTGTGAAAATGTAAACCTGCACAAGTGCCATGGTCAATTACAGCATATTTGATGTGACCTAATTAGTACTGTGAGGAACCAACACATGGAAAAGCAAATGGGGACACATGCCAGGGACAAAACTGAATGTGATGTGAATACTAATTTTGGCTTTACATTGCTTTATTCATTAAAAACCTTCTTCAGATAAAACAGAACCAGACAGTTGTTGAATGCTTATGTGGCAGGGTCTGTGTAAGGTCCTTTCATGGACATTTATTTAATCCTCATGAGTCTGTGAGGGAGGCATAGTAGCCCCATTTTACAGATAAGGAAACAGCCTCAGCAAAGTTAACCGAACTGCCCAAAGCAATATATCCTATAGGAAACAGCTGGGGTTTAAATTCAGCTTTCTGACTCCAAGGTAACCTCAGTATATATTTTTTGCAATGTTAGTCTTACAAGATAATTAATTCCATTCCTCCACCACCCCCCCTTTTTTTTTTTTTAAAAAAAAAAAAAAAGGAATTCTCACAGGAAAGAAAACAAAAGAAAGCATATTTTTAAAGAACTTAGGTATTAGGTAAGATATCATTCACCATTCCTAGATGGGGCATCATGAAAATAAATCACAGATTTAAAAAAAAAAAAGAAAAAAACGCTTATATTCATTAGAAAGTCTGATATGATTTGGCTGTTTTCTACCCAAATCTCATCTTGAATTGTAGTTCCCATAATCCCCATGTGTCTTGGGAAGGACCAGGTGGAGATAATTGAATCATGAGGGCGGTTTCCCGTATCCTGTTCTGATGGTTTTATAAGGGGCTTTTCTCCCCCTTCATTCTGCACTTCTCCTTGCTGTCGCCATGTGAAGGAAATGTTTGTTTCCCCCTCCAACATGATTATAAGTTTCCTGAGGCCTCCTCAGCCATGCTGAACCGTGAGTCAATTAAATCTCTTTCCTTTATAAATTACTCACTGTCAGGTATGTCTTTATTAGCAGTGTGAGAACGGACTAATATAAAGTCTAAAGTTTTTCTCTGAGAGACAAGTCCTAGTATGATACCAATACCACACTTAGCCAAATGATTTCTTGGCAGAGTTGCCTGTTTCGGGTGGGTTGCTGGGCCTTCTGGAGTTAACTTCTCTAGATCCCAGGGAGAAAAAAGCACCTAGAGTACATGGCAGGCTTTAGGTATCTGACAAATTTTGGAGGGCACACAGCGAGGTTAAAAGGTGTTTTTTTTTTTTCTTTTTACGGAGGGAGTTGGTTGTGACTAGAGCTTAGATACAACAACAACAACAACAACAACAACAACAAAAACCCCAAACCCCCAAACCCCTGACATCACAGTTTAAAAGATGAAAGAGCAATAGGAACCCCTCAGATACGGTACCTTAGACCTGAAGAGAATGTTACCTGACCACCCAGGACATTGCCATTGAGAAAAAACCTGTGTATCGAACATCCAAATCTATCTTCATTTCTTCCTGGCCACATTCTTCTCCTAAATTCCCCATGACATTAAAGAAGAAAAGGGCATAAACCTACAAGGGCAAAGAGACAGAAAGGATAACCACAAAACGCTGGATGTTGATAACAGAGACCTCCAGTGAAATGACCCAGATATTTAAATGAGGGCTGTCTCCACATGTTTAAATTTTGTTTTTCAGTGTTTCTCTCTTAAATAAGGACATGCAAGAATCAGAGTTGTTTGAAGAACGTATGACAGAGACCAGAACATGTAAAAAGAAAAAACAAATCCTGAGGAAAAAGAGATAGTGCAGGGAACAGAGTAAACTTAAATTACAATTAATATTTTCAGGTTAATATTTAATCTGATATTAAATGTAAAATGAAACTAATATTTTCATTTCATCACTGAAATAGGAACAAGAAAAAAGGAAGATTCAGGGAATAAGAAAGAGTTCCTCTTGGGAAAAATATTATATAGAAGTAAAAATTTCACAAGATGGATTGGATGATAAATTTGAGTATATTTTGGGGTAAGGAAAACAAAAAGACAGAAGGATGGAATATAGGAGAGAAAAGAACAGTAAAAAAAAAAAAAAGCTGGGAATATGTATAGAGAGATAGGCCCCAGAGGACCTCAAATTACAGTCCCTCAAACACCAATGTGTGTGGAAAGCCCTGAGTGTTCCAGCCCTACCCTTAATCCCAGAAAGTGCTGTGGAAGTGGCCGAGAGTTGATGTCCCTAGTTAAGAGTCATGTGGTTGGAACAGTTTGATGAAGACTGTGTGGCCTGAGGCCTGAAGGTTATACACGAGGGTTGAAGACTTTAGCAAAGATGCAGTGAACAAAGATGCTGTGGTCCAAATCTAATCAGGCCCCTCAGTGGAGGCCAGATAAAGCAGATAAAGCAGAAGCTGCACAGGGGCCTGTCTTAGTATGGTTAGGCTGCTATAAAAAAACACCACAACTGGGGTAGATTATAAACAACAGAAAGTTATTTCTCACATTTCTGGAGGGTGGAAAGTTCATGATCAAGGCAGATTAGGTGTCTGTTGAGAGTGTGCTGTCTGGTTTATAATTGATGCCTTCTTCCTGTGTCCTTACATGACTGAAGTGATGAGGGATCTCTTGGATTCTTTTATAAGGGCATTAATCTCATCATGAGGGCTCTACCACCATGACATAATCACCTCCGAAAGCTTCACCTTCTATCATCATCACCTTGTGGGTTATTATTTCAACCTAGGAATTTTGGGGGTACACAAACATTCAGGCCATAGCAGAACTACATGCCCCTCCTGCAAACCCTCATGTGGTCATTGCCATGGAAGCTGCTCCACAACCCAGATGCCAAGAGGGAAAAAAGAGCAGGAGCCAGGAGCTGAATGGGAGTGGGAAAAAACTTCAGAGTTCAAGTTTACACTGGAAAAGACTGGGTGACTTTGAATTAGCCAGCAGAAGTGTTTTTGCTATGAAGTGGTAATGGGCACTTGGGAAATGAGTTAATTTAATGATAGTGGTATGAAGAACGTGACTTTTTGTCTGCTCAACTTTTTTCTTAAGAGCATACTGATTACATAATCAATAAGCATAAAAAACATATGGGTATCATACATAGATAATTAATAGAAGGTAATCTTCCTTCTTTCCAATAACAAATAAACATTAAACATTTTCTTCTAATCAGTATTCTACCTAAATATTTACCAGTTCAGACAATTAATTTTAATATTCAAAATACATGAATACACATACATCATATACCACACATTGCTGATGGTATAGTTTTAATCAAGCAGTTATTATGTGCATATTACCATGTAGTTACTAAAAATGAAACAAATGGTCCTTGGTTTCAGGAAATTTGTGACCAAGAAGTTAGGCAGTAAATAATTCCTAAACAAGAGTTGCACACAATATGACTTCAGAGGATGGAGAGAGTTTCATGAGTTTGGATATTCAGAGAAACTGAATAAGGGACAGGGTGCTTGAGCCAGACATGGAAGACCAGAGATCTGACAAGGAATGACAAACTGGCTTCAGTAAGCATGGTTGCCTGGAAGTCTCTGTTGACACATTCTGGGGATGTGTCTGGTTTCAGTGGGGAGAGTGCTATGGAGAACCAGCGATGTCCTCTGTGGGCAAGAGAGGGAAGAGGGCCAGGGACAGGATATGCATTGGCATTGGTCCTTGAGATAGGCAGAGAGGTGAGGGGCAAGCATTCTATGTAGGTGATATTGGAGTGACAAGAATGCGCAGACCAAAATATGAATGGTGCCTTCTGGATCCACCAGAGGATTTCACGGAGTGGAGTAGCTGATGATAAGTGAGCAGGGGTGGGTCAGGGCCAGATGGAAAGAGCCCCTGAAAGCCAAGTTAAGAAGTTAATCTATTATCTGTAGAAAATGCAGAGTCATTGAAATATTTTTTAATGCAAAAATGACGTGATCAAAATGGGAGCAAGCAGGATGAATGGAGTTTCAAGATCAGAAAATAAGACCTTGAAGTAGTAAGAAGAACATTTAACTTGCACACCAAATAATTGACAAATTTGAATACATTTTGTATGTCTTTGAAATCTTTCTTATTGAAGTGTTCAAAGTTCTTTAACACCAATTCACTAGAAGTTCAACTTATCCCTCTTAATTATTGAAAACAAATTTCTGCTCTTACCTAACTGTGTGGCTTTAAAAAATTGCTTAATTTCTGTGGGGTTTAGGTTTCTTGACTGTAAAATGAGCTGAAAAAATATTATTTCCAAAGTCTCTCTCGGTGTTATATTTTATTTAGTAACATTGGTAACTAACTGGTGACTTGGCTTCCTTTCTAACCACTGCTTCAGAAATAGTTGTCTCATGAATAAATTTACTCATTGCAATGAAAAAGAGGTAAGTTTATTTAGTTATTAATACATGCGCTCATCTCAATGACCATTTGTGACATTTATTAATTGAATCCTTAGTGGGACCTAGATCTGAAATGGTAGTAAGCCTGTTTGGTGACAATGTTTTGCGTCTAATATATATTACTAATTTCATAATTTCCAAGCAAATTTGAGAAACATGATTTATTAAATCCACGATCAATATTCAAACGCGACTTCATTTCCTGGCACATGCAATGGAGACCAAATTGTTTCCCCTGCTTTCTGTATGCCATTTCCATACCTCTATTACTACAAAAGTGGAACCATTTATTTTGCAAAAGGTTTGCCAGAGAACTAATTATAACATCAAGTGGGGTGGTGTTCAGAACAGTCTGAGTGATAAATAATGAGAAAAAATAATCCAATAATTATTTAAAGTAGTGGGTGTTAGCATCTACTCTGATCTGATGATGGTGGTAGCGGGGAAAGGCTTCAAAGTAACAATACACATCCAGCCATTGATGATATTTTATTCTTCTATTCATAGTTTATTTCATTATAAAAGTCCAGTGGACTTAGTCTGTTTTTCAATTACCCTAGCCACTTACTTGCGGGTATTGTGCACGGCTGTTTCACGTGTGCAGCAGGCGCTCTGCACTATTATTCTGGTCAACAAAAGACGATTATTAAATTCTAAAAAAGCTTTAGATGGGACTGCCATGACAATAGGCATAGGTAATCAGAGGTATAATCACATTCTGCTGGAAATCGGTGCCCATAGAATGAACAGGAACATAGCGCAGTCTTTGAAGTCCATTTTCGTGTAAACATCAAATGGTGCTGTGAGGTTTTTCGCCACAGGTTTGAAGTGTAAATATGCATCATCAGCTCAGGGTCAAGAAATGGCTTGCGGTTCTCAGTTTTAGTGTGAATATATTTGCAAAATACATCATTTTCCAGTTTTAGGGCCAAATCTATTAAGGATATTGGAATATTATGCCTTTTCTGTTTATATAATAGAAACACATTATGATATTCCTTGTGACACAGATGGGTTTAATATGAATTGAATCATATGCTCAGTAAGAGAGCAACTCAGAAAAATAGCCAGATAATAGGCTGGAGCTAGAGGCAGGTGCTGGTCCAGTGTCCTACCATGAGGTGCTGCAAAAGGCTTGTGTCACTCTGTTTCTGAGGAAAAATATTTTAGAAGCAGCCGCGCTGTGGTATTGTCAATGGCTAGGATGACTCTTGTTTTCAGTGAGAGTTTGGGGCTATGAGGTAATTCAAAGGTGATTTTTTCATACTGAAAAGTAACAGTGGCAGAATTTAGACTGTGTCATTGTTGCTGGGAATACAATAGTCCTAAATAAGTATGCACTGAAGAATGCCATAAACCTCAACTGCCTCAAAATATTTCCTTTTACCAGCCTTCCACAGAGTCTTTTATCTTCACTGTCTGAGCCATTTCTTTAAGGCAGAGTTTCTCAGCCTCGCCACTACTGACAATCCGGGCTAGATAAGATAATTCTTCGTTGTGGGGGACTGTTCTGTGCATTGTAGGATGTTTAGCAGCATCCTTGGTTTCTACCCACTAGATGCCAGTTGCATTTCTCCATCCTCTAGTGGCCAACCAGAAATGTCTCCAAATGTTAAATGTCTCCTAAGAGCAAAATCCCCCTGGTTAGGATCCACTGCTTTACTAGACTTTCAGGCACTCTAAAGAGTTCCTGTTAAAATGCAAACTGTTACTGTGTAGGAAAACACACGGTTCCAGGAATACCTTACCATGTGCTCCCCACTTTTCTAGCATAAGAGCAAGGCCAAGAATGGGATATGAGTCAAACTGATGACTGGAATTAGGAAAGTCCAGGGCCTGGAGAAGTGTCCAGGATGAGAAAAGTATTGGTGGTAGAACACCGCATTGGTGAACTTTGTGCAGCTTAGGTATTCAGCCGGGCGCAGTGGCTAACACCTGTAATCCCAGCACTTTGGGAGGCTGAGGCCAGGAGTTCAAGACCAGCCTGGCCAACATGGCAAAACCCCCATCTCTACTAAAAATACAAAAATTAGCCAGGCGTGGTGGTATGCACCTGTAATCCCAGCTACTTGGGAGGCTGAAGCAGGAGAATCACTTGAACCTGGGAGGTGGAGGTTGCAGTGAGCTGAGATCGTGCTACTGCACTCCAGCCTGGGTGACAGAGCAAGGCTGTCTCAAAAAGAAAAGAAAAGAAAAGAAAAAAAATTCCATGAGGGTGCCAAAGCAAGAGAAGTAAGATGGTAAACGTGGGGAGAATAGCATGACAAGAAGGGAAGAGTCATTCAGGATGCCAAGGGGCACTTTTGTACTAGAAGCCCTGTACAAGAAAGCAAACCAGTGTTGGTCAGTTTGTAGAGTTAATTTTGCTGTAACTGAGCAGACATGTTTAAGATGATGTTTGTCAGAGGAAGGGAGAGCTGAGAGAGTGGAGCAGGCTGCAGTTTGCTCTGAGTGAGAGGTAGGAGGCATGGTTTAATTCTTGGTGCCAAAGAAAGAAGGTGTGTTGACATGGAGTCCTTTCCTCTAGAGGATGTAGAAGCCTGGGGTCCGAGTGAGGGCAGGCAGCCGACTTTCACACAAAAACATGTGTCTGCGTGTTGTGGGTGGCCTGAGCCCGTGGTGAGCACAGTGGGAACAGATTCGTCCTTTCTGGTGTGCTGACTAAAATCCTGGTATTTGAAAGTTTGCCACACATGCACACAAGAAAGAATGAGAACCACTGGGAAAGAGGCTCCAAAGCAAAAACTGAGTATTTCAAAACATCACCTTACTAGACGTGCATGGGAAATAGATTAACTCAGGATTTTAATGAGAACAACCAAGAAATAATGGATTTTCCCCTTCATTTCTCCTCCTTCTTACCTCAGTTATTTTCGTTTTTAAACCCTGTTTTAGAGATACGGGCTTGCTCTGTTGCCCTGGATTGCAGTGGCATGATCATAGCTCACTGCATCCTCGAACTCTTATCTTCAAGAGATCCTCTTGCCTTGGTCTCCCAACATTCTGGGATTACAGGTGTGAGTCACTGTGCTCAGCCTAGTTTTTTTTTTTTTGCTTTATTTTCAGTGTCTTCCCCATATCAATCTCACTATTTGGATTATTTCAGAAAAGGTAGAAACAAAAAATTAAAATTAAAAGTAGGTAGTACTGTTCTGGCCTATTCTCTTCCTGCTCCCGCCACCACCACTCTCTCCAGCCTCCGTTTTATTCACTTTTCCCTTCCGCTCCCATCTCCTTTATGACCTTCTTAAAATCCTGCCCTGGGATCTGCTTGTTAATGGCCTTTGTAATTATAAACAAGCAGATCCCAGGGCAGGATTCACTTTCTCCTACTGTCACTATTTCTCTACTTTTCCAGACTTAAAACCACCTAGTCTTCATATGTATGATATCCTGATGGCCCAGGTTTTGGGGACAGTCTCAAGTTCACATATCGTATTACTCCCATGACTACCTTTGTTCTTGTCAACCTTGAGTCATAGTTTTCTTTTTGGGATGTGTCATCATTGTGTCCATCTAAAATGTAAAATACAAGGGAGAGTGATTGCAAAGTGGCATGAGGGGGTGTTTCTGAAGTGGCACCCTTCAGAAATGATGGAAATGGTCAAAACTCATCAAATGTAACCTTAAAATTGATGAATTTTATTCTATGTAAATTATACTTTTAAAAAAGTGACTAAAAATATAAAATGACAGACATTATGCTGCTGCCCATGCTCTTGCCCTGGCCACCTTCCCACTGGAGTTGTGTGGAGTGCTTGTCCTTCGCTCATTCTCATCCTCTCAGTCTTTTACCTCCCGTCTCCTCTGGGAACCAGTGTGCTGTCCTGTGGTGTCCTCATTTCATTCCCACCAGCCCAGGGAGCAGAGCCCAGAGCACCTGCTCTCAAGAAAAACCAGAGTGCCTGCCTCAAAGTGGCAAAGGATAAAGTCCTACACAAAACAAAAATGCAATGATTTCTGACCAAGCCCTTCTACATAATATGTCTTTTTAACAAAAGTATCCATCAAAGTGATATAAATATCCTCAGTAATCTTGATCTTTTCAATGCAGCTCAACCAGCTGTTGAAAGGCTGTGGTGGCTCCCAGACAGATTCTGTAATAGAAGGTTTTGGGATCCCCTCTATCTCTTGCTCTGGGGCCAGCCACAGCCCTGGTGCTCAGGCCACAGAGCTTTCTGTCTTCCCACCTGCAGGGAGAAACCTGGGAAAGTCTCCTCCCATCATTAAGGCTGTGGGCACGTACAAATGCATTCATGTGTTTTGAGGGACAAGTGAACCATATTAAAGGAGGAAAGAGGGAGGGGTGATTAAGCATCTTTCTATCCCTTTCCACAGCCATCTGCCCTTCTTTGGGTCTCTCTTTTTCACCCCCTTTGGGTCTGAACTTATATATTGCCATGAATAAGCAGATCCCAGGACAGGATTTTAAGGTCATTGCCCAATATCATTCATTAATTTGGTATTTATATATTGCTAATGAGATATGACTGTAAGAAGAATGCCAATCACATTGTAAATAAAAATTTTCTTTTGATTATGAAAGCAAATCAGTCCCCTTCAAGAGAATTTGGATGTTAAAAAATGTGCAAAAAGATGATGAAAATCACCATCAAGAAATAATATCAATATGTTGCTATCTTTCCATGTTATGTATATGTGTAATTTTTATAAAAATTAGATAAAATTAATTTTGTATTTTTATACTGAGCATTAAAAAGTATTTAATTATATCATTTTTAATGCTTTATATTTTAATATTCTGCTGTATAAACATATTGTAATTTATTTAATCATTTTCCTATTTTTAGACACAAATTGTATCCATTTGAAGTACATAAATATATTAATAGAGTTTTTGTTGATATATTTTCTTTTTATTCATCTAGTTGAATATTTGGTATTTTTCTAAGTACTACATTTTAATGTCTACCTGAATAATATACTTCCATAAATTATTATATAATGTCCCCTTGATTTCAGGATACATGTATTTTGTTCTTTTCAACATACAAAATGAGAATAGTGCAGGGAACAGAGACAGGTAATACTAACAAAGATTATTTAGTTATTATCAGAGTTCCACCTACTGGTGTATTTTAAAATGGCATAACACAGACCTTTTGATTAGCATCAATGAAATTATTTAAAATATCCCTGTTGCTTAAATTATTTTAGTCAGCATTAGGATAATTGATAACAAGAAAAATGTCATGGCTTTAGATTTTCTTTGTTAACTTCCTAAATCAATAAAAATCCCAATATTTATAGTATTTCAACAGGTTAAGAAATGGAAAATCTCACTGTTAACTATATACAAATAAAATAGAATAAATAGACTAAAAAGGAAATAATACATTAAAAACATATTGAAAAGCTAGTAAGATATTTATGGTGAATGAAGCCACCAAGCTCAGACAATTTTATGAATAAGTTCTAACAAATCTTTAAGAAACAGGTAATTTTGGCTGGGCATGGTGGCTCATGCCTGTAACCCCAGCACTTTGGGAGGCCGAGGCAGGTGGATTACTTGAGGCCAGGAGTTCAAGACCAGCCTGACCAACATGGTGAACACCTGTATCTACTAAAAACACAAAAATTAGCTGGGCGTGGTGGTGGGCACCTGTAATCCCAGCTATCTGGGAGGCAGGAGAATCGCTTGAACCCAGGAGGCAGAGGTTGCAGTGAGCTGAGATCGGGTCACTGCCCTCCAGCCTGGGTGACAAAATGAGACTCCATCTCAAAAAAAACCAAAAAAACAAAAAACAAAACAAAAAAAGAAATAGGTAATTTTATGCTACTTAAACAGTTTTATAGAATAGAAGAAGTTAGATATTATCGCTCTGATTTTATAAGTCTAATAAAATGTAATATCGAACTAAACAAAGCTGTATCATGAGAAAGAAAACTGTGTCAATCTAATTTAGGACATAGTTCTAAAATTTTAAATAAAATATTGATATATGGAATGCAATAATTGATGTAGTCTTTGAATAACAACAATTATATCAATTATCTAATATTTCATAACATACCACTCCAAATTTTAGAGTCTTACATTAATTATCACTTATAATCCCATGCTGGCAATTTGTTCAGCCAGGATCAGCTGGGCAGTTCTGCTAGTCTGACTGTGGGCATTTGTGTGGCTGCAGGCCACATTTGGGGCTGGGTGGCCCACAATGGTCTCTCTTACATGTCTGACAATTGGTGCTGGCTGTTGGTTGGGTCTCTTTCTCCATGTGGTTTCTTTTCTTTTCTTTTTCTTTTTCTTTTTTGTTTTTTGAGACGGAGTTTCACTCTTAGCGCCATTGCACTCCAGCCTGGGCAATATCTCAGCTCACTGCAATCTCTGTCTCCTGGGTTCAAGCAATTCTCCTGCCTCAGCCTCCCAAGTAGCTGGGCTTACAGGAACCCGCCAACACACCTGGCTAATTTTTCTATTTTTAGTAGAGATGGGGTTTTGTCACATTGGCCAGGCTGGTCTTGACCTCCTGACCTCAGGTGATCCACCTGCCTTGGCCTCTCAAAGTGCTGGGATTACAGGCATGAGCCACCATGCCCAGTTTAAGTTTTGCCTCTAGGCTCCTTTATATGGCAATTTCAGGAGAGTAAGAAGGTCAAGAACAGGCACTGTAAGGCCTCTGGAGGCATAGATTTGGAAGTTACATATTGTAATTTCTGCTGCATTTAATTGGTCAAAGCAAGTTACTAGGGGGCTCAATTTAAGGGGATGGAGAAAGAGGCTAGTTCTTAATGGGAAGGACGATGACATCAAATTGTAAAGGGATATCCATACAGGGATGAGAGGAACTGTTGCAGCCATTTTTGAACACAATCTACTACTATCCTTAAATAAGTTAATTTTTGTAAATACTTAGAACAATGACTGGCACATAGTGTCATATAAGTATTTACCAAATAAATAAGGAATCAACTACAGTTAATTTTAGGAAAACAAAGTTCACCATTAGAACAATCCACTGATTATGGTTTTCTGGAAAGAAAAAAATCTACCTCTCAGAAAGCCGACCAATATAGACAATATAAGTAGGTATTTTTCATTAAATAATTTCAGAGAGAAAAGAGAATCAATTACCTTCCCAATTTTTTGAGTTTCAAAAACTTAAGGTGACTTCAAGATGGTATATCATATGATCTTCTCCACTCTATTCCCGAGACATAGGAATAATTGAAAACAAGTATTTAAAAAAATTTTAAAGTACATATATGAGCTTAAGAACAAGAGGAAGAACAGTGGATCAGGAATGGATAGTGGCGAGTAGGGACAAACTGATGTTAGTACTGGACAAGGAGTATAAGCCACATTACCTGTGTTGCAGCTAGAAACAGACCCATGCTGGTAGCTCCAGTGGGAAAGACAGGCATTTGAGTCAAAATGGGGAGGATGCTTGAGCTGCCTGTGGGTGGAGATTTTGAGACTATCTTTCCTGTAAGGGGCAACAACCCCAACCCTCTAACTTGGTTAATGTCTGGGTAGCCCAGAGGGCCAGGCTGAGGCAACCTCAAAACCACTCCAAGAGAAACACCTGAATGGGGTAAACACCCTCATGCAAGATAAGAGCACAAAGCGAAATTTCAAAGCACACAAAGAAATCCATGGTCATCAGAGGTTACCATGGCAGTAATTTTTCTTGGGGATAGATTTCCTTCTGATGACATCCTGAAAGTATCTACTTACTTCTTATTCAACAAATATTACTTATTTAAAAAGCATCCATGTGTTCCAAGTACAAGTTGTTCTAGTGACTGGGAACAAATGGTGAACAAAGCACACAAAAGTCCTTCTCTTCATGGAGTTTATGTTCTGGTGGGAGATAGATGAGGAAAGAAACATTTTGGGAGTAACCTGGATAGAGTATAGCTAGTTAGGCAGATGACAGATGGAGGATGGCTGAGATATAGATTCTCAAGCCCCTGAATCATGTTCTGCTCCAGCTGTTCATTCTCTCACGAAGTCCCAAACACCAATCATTTTTCCTTTTTTATTGAACCACACAAATAAAATGAAAATGAAATGAAATTTAAGAGAAAATGTTCTTTGTCTTCTCATCTTTGTTAAAATGAACAAGCTGGCAGGACAAAGAGCCAGGAGAAAACATGATTCATGTTACATAAGGAGAGTAAAGGGCTTTCCAGGTGGGCCAGAGAAGAAAATAAATTAATAATTATTCAGGAAGTATAGTGATTAAACAAAATTGGGGGATTAGCATCTAGTTTTTGTTTGGTTGTCTTTTTTTTTTTAAATTTTAACTTTTATTTTAGATTCGGGGGTGCATGTGCAGGTTTGTTACATGGGTATATTGTGTGACAGCATCTATTTTTTAGTCAGTTTTGTAGCATCTGCACATTTTTCTAGTTCTTAAAATAAAATATACATACTTAGGCTCTTCTTTTATAAAGGCAGGTCAACTTGTGCTCATGAGATTTCCATTTCATTTATGCTCAGTGCAGGTGTGTACTGGGCAATCATGTTTTCCTTTTCTAATTATATCTGAACTTGAAGATGGGTAGAGAGAAGTCGGTCCCAATGGCAGGACACTTCTGTGCCTGCTTTCTCTTCCCTTGTTATCATCTTGCTCTAAACTTTTTCCACTGGAGAAATCACAGTTTAATTGTCACCTATAATTATTTTTTTAGAGGAAAATAATTGAACTTTTTTGACTATCATTACTACTCTTTCCTGTTTCTCCTCCTATGGCTTTATCTGAGATGGATAGCTCTTAATATTTTTTTGAGTGTCAAATACCCTATTTTGAGATTTTGATTACACCTATGAATTCACAAAATACATACATGCATATAATTATACTTATTTATGCATACAATTTTTATTGCATTCTACCTAATGAAATACATCCTTGGGAGATAGGAAATGAATCTCTGTCTTAGGTAGCTTTTCTTTGGTCACATCTTTTAATATTGAGGTTATCAGAGAGTTGTCACTGACTGTCTCTTTTTATTCTAGGCCCTCACAAATACACAGTGATAAAACATTAAAAAGGAGGACTGCCCAGGAGAGACAAAAATGGGAAGAGAATGGAAGGATGTTGTAGGCTTTAAGAGGTCAGGAGGATCAAAATCGTAAAAGGCCTTGACTACCAAGATAAAGAATTTGCCTGCATTATAAAAGTCATGGGACACCACTAAGGATTTTCTACTCTTAATGCTTTTAACTCTCTTCTGTAATATAGAAGACACACAGACAAACATTTCTAGCCCTAACACCTTCTCTATGTGTAAAGCGCTATATTCACTGCTGATTGAGCATTCCTACCTGGCAATCCCAGTGTATAGCCTAAAGAAATACATCCTGTTTTTTCCCTACCTTATCAGGGGGTACCATCATCCCTCCAAAGTAACACAAGCTGGAAAGTTGGACGTTAGCATTGATTCTTTTTGCTAACCCTGTCTAACCAATCACCAAATAATTTTGATTGTAACCCATGCATATCTCTTCATCCACTCCCTTCCCTTCTTTTCTACTGTTACTGCCTTAGTTCAAGTCCTCAGCCTCTCTTCTGAATTATGGCATTCAGCCCCCAAATAGTCTTTCTGATCCTAGTGCAGCCCTGCTTCCAGTTTTCCTTCCACACTACTGCTAGAATTGTCTCTAAAATGTGAATCCCATCATGTTACCCCCCTACAGAAAATCCTTAGTGGTGTACCATAACTTTTATAATGAAGGCAAGTTCTTCATCTTGGTGGGCATGGCCTTTTATGATTTAGCTCCTCCTGACCTCTTTAAGCCCACAACATCCTTTCACTCCCTTCCCATACTTGTTTCTCCTGGGCAGTCCTCCTTCCCGATGTTTCATCACTGTGTGTGTATTCGTGGCCCCCTTAACAGGCTGAGCTCTCTCACACATTTGGGCTTTTATATGTCCTGTTCTCTTTGTCTGGAATTCTAATCCCCCCTCTATACTTACCCATTTTGCAATTTCTTTTTTAATTTTCGAGGTTCAGCTTAATCTCCTCTGAGACCCTTTCCCTCTCTCAGGTGAAGCCAGATGCCTCTCACCTCTGCTGGCTTCAATACTCCCCATAGCGCTTTAGTTTTACACGTACCATGTTGTAATTATTTCCTTACTCAATGTCTGCTTCATGAGACTGACAACCTCTTGAAGGCATACTTTCCAGATATAATCAGAGTTCAGTAAATATGAAATTGAATTAAACAACCATCATTATAAGATACAAGCTTCATGGACTGTTCTTTATATAATGTCAGGGTTCTGCTCAGTTCCCTCAGTAAGCTTCCATAAGAGCAAAATCGGTTTCTGTGTAGCGCTATCAATGCTTGTATAAGAAAAAATAGAATAGACTCATTCATTCACTCCAATCAACATCTCTGTGTTTTGCTGACAGGACAACCTGCCCCTTCTTGTTTCACTTCCAGGTGTTGTCAATAGCTAAACATTATGTAGTTTAGGAGCAATCACTTCAAATAGCTGGAGAGATAAGGCTTGATAATTTTTGTGAAGGATTTATTATTTGAACTATACAAAACTACTATGAAATGTTAGCAAATAACTGAGCCTCAGGGAGTAATAATTACTTTCATTCTATGATTGCAGATGATGTAAAATAAAAGCAACATAAGTTGAAGTTTTAGATACTAATATAACATAAACAGGCAGCAGGATTAGAATAAAGTCAGCCAAACAATTTCTGTCCTCAAAAGCTAACGGGGGTGATATAATATTTTGGACCCTTGTGCCTCAGATGTGATCTCTAATTTCATTAGAGCCAATGACTTTTGGCATATCTACTGAACAAATTCCCCAGTAAAGCATACTGCTGAAGTTTATCAACCTTTTAATCTATGCTTGTAAACCCATCTCTGAGAGTTTTCTTAAACACTGTATGAATGATTTGATATAAAATGTTACTGTCTCAGTTGTGATTGATTCTGTCTCAGCCTCCATCTTGTTTGTTGTGTCTAGCTGTACTGTTTCAGTCAAGAGCACCATAGACTGAGTGGCTTATAAACAACAGAAATTTATGTCTCATAGTTCTAGAGGTTGGAAGTCTGAGATCAAGGTCCCAACACAGCTGGGTTCTGATTAGCCCTCTTCTGGCTTGCAGACTGCCAACTTCTTGTATCCCCACATGGTTGAAAGAAGGACAGAGCTCTCTGGGTGTAAAGGCACTGATCCTACCATGAGGTCTTCACTCACATGACCGAATCACTTTCTAAGGGCCCCAACCTTAATGCTATCACATTGGGGGTTAGAATTTCAACATATAAATTTTTAGAGTATACACAAACATTCAGTCCACTGCATATACTAAGTATTCTGGAGATTTCACAGTGTTCTTTTAAAAATGTTCACAGATGCAAAGTCTTTTTGGATTTAATAATGAGCTTTTCCTTCTATGTCACACTGGTAGTAAATGAAAGCAAAGATAGGCTAAAAGTGAGTGGAAATCAATGTCTTACATAGTTTAAAATCTTTCCTTTAGAGAATTTTTTAGTGAAAAAGGCTGGGAGGAAAGCTAAATATTTTATATTCTTAGTGACAGAGATGCTATAAGCTCTTGATAATTTTTACCCATACATGAAAGGATTTATGTTCTTCTCCTCTCCTCTCCTGTGACATGTTCAGGCCTCAAGACCCAAGAAAGAACCCTTTGCTCCTGCTAACTCACCTTTGCCTCAGATGTGATCTCTAATTTCATTTCTTCTTTGGAAAATCTTCAGAGTATTCTGGGTAATTTTCCTTTAGGAACTACTGATTTTCATGGTCATTTTATTGGATTTGAGTGATTTTGCATATATGTGGGCAATTTTAAGTGGATATCAGACATTGTGAATCTTATGTTTTTGCATGCTGAAGTTTTTTGCATTACTTAAAATATTTTTGACCTTTGTTCTGAGATGCAGTTAAGTTACTTGGAAACAATTGGATCCTTTGAAGCCTGCATGTAGGGTTTTTAGAACAGCGTTTCATCAGGGCATATTTTGGCGCCACTACTGAGGTAATACCTGTTGGAGGAATACTTGATGCTCGTGTCTTAGGAGGTCTTTCCACTCTGGCTGGGGTAGGGGAGATGTAAATATTTCCAGCCCTGTGAGATCTTGGGGAATCGTTCTGCCTCTTCCTTTTGAGTGGTTGTGTCTTGGCTTTTGGGAGTTTCTTCACACACACATGCACTGATCACTACTTAGTTGAAGATTCTAGTGGAACCCTCTGAGGAGATCCCAGGGAGACCCTCTGATAATCCCAGAGCTCTCTTCTCTCTAGTACACAGCCCCACAAATTCTAGACACTTCGGCTTCCCCGAAGTTTGCACTCCATCTTCTCAGCTCAGGGAGACGGCCGGGCTCTGTTTGGGAGCCTCGTCCTGAGCTGCGGTCGGGAAGCCCTGTAGGCAGTGAGCTGTGGCAATTCTTTGGTTAACCTCATATGTTTTCTTTCTTTCTGGGATCACTGTTGGGTGTTGTCTTTTGCCCAGTGTCCCATGTCCATTGTTTCATACATTTTGTCTGTTTTCAAAGTTGTTTAGGGCGTGAGGGTAAATGTCCCAATTACTCTATTATGACCTGAAATGAAACTTACCCAAGTGGGAAATTTTGCATTAGGAGTTTTTATTGAAAAAGTATAGTGTTGTGGTCAAGAATATCAGATCTTTTATCAAGCTATCTGTATTCAAATCTTGATTCTTTCCCAGTGGCTTGGCCAAATTATATAACCTCTCTCTGCCTTACTACCATTACTAAAAACATTACCATTGCTAAAAACATTTTCCATTTCTCATCATTGACATTACTTTTAGAGATGTGACACATTTATTATCTCATTTTTTCATCTGAAAATAGATCTATTTTATCTGAAAATGAGATAATAAATATATCGCATCCCTAAAAGTAATGGCAATGACAACAAAAAATGGAAAATGTTTTTAGTAATGGTAGTGTAGTTGGAACAAGCATGTAAACTTCCCAGATCTTTGAAAGATAACAATCATTTAGATATTTAAATTTTGAAACATTTGTTAATAAATCATTTATATTACAAGTTGAGTATTCCTTATCCAAAATGATTGGGATCAGAAATTGTTTTGATTTTGGATTTTATAATATTTGCATTATTTATTGGTTGAGCATCCCTAATCCAAAAACCCCAAATCTGAGATGCTCCAATGAGCATTTCCTTTGAGAGTCATATTAGTGCTCAAAAATTTTGGATTTCAGAGAATTTTGGATATTGGATTTTCAGATTATGGATGCTCAGCCTGTATTTCCTATGTCAAATCTTGGATACTTGTTGAGAAAATAAAATTTTACTTTAAAGGACAGTCTATTTTCTCACCGAGGGTCACAAAACCCATCATTTTGAATTTTAGTAACTGGATAAAGAAGAATAATTCTTTGCTTTCAAAAACTTTCAGTGAGACAACCAACTATTATCGAACCTGCTGCATTGGGTTATAATGTATGTAAACATGGGAATGATAATATTTCATTTTTGCCATGTAATAACCTCACAATCTCAATAATAAATCTTTGTATCCATGATCATGGGTCTGCCGTTTGGATGAGGATTGGTTGATCTAGGTTTGGCTTGGCTGGGCCAAGCTGGACTTCAAGTTCAGGTGTGTTACCTGTGTTTTCTTTCTGAGGTCCAGGTGGAAGGGGCAGCAACAACTTGGGGTTTGCCCTCATCATGATGGATCCCAGGATGGCAAGAGAGCAAACCAAACCAGGTAAACAGATTTAAAGCCTCTGCTCTTGTCTGCCTGCATTCATTGGCTTAAAAAAGTCACATGGTTAAACCCATTGTTGATGGATTGTGGAAGAATAGGCTGCCCACAGTAGGAGGCACGTGGCAAAGAAAGTAGAGGTATAATCTACTGGAGGTAGTAAAAATTGGAGAATAGTAATTCATTGTAACAGGAATTTTTAGAAAAATATTTTAGAAAAATATTTATTTCAAGATGGTATGCTTGATTAGTTTAGTGTCTTATTTTATTTTATTTTATTTTATTTTATTTTATTTTATTTTATTTTATTTTATTTTTTGAGACAGAGTCTTGCTTTGTTGCCCAGGCTGGAGTGCAGTGGTGCGATATTGGCTCACTGCAAGCTCCGCCTCCCGGGTTCACGCCATTCTCCTGCCTCAGCCTCCCGAGTAGCTGGGACTACAGGCACCAGCCACCACGCCTGGCTAATTTTTTTGTATTTTTAGTAGAGACGGGGTTTCACCGTGTTAGCCAGGATGGTCTCGATCTCCTGACCTTGTGATCCGCCCGCCTCGGCCTCCCAAAGTGCTGGGATTACAGGCATGAGCCACCGCGCCTGGCCATTTAGTGTCTAATTTAATCTGGAAAGTACAAAGTATGGATTTTCAAGTGTTGAATGTGGCTGAAACAATGCTATGTTGTTCATCAAACCTATTTCTTTTTCCTTTTGGGCATTTAGATAAACTGCATTTTCAGCCTTCCCTGTAGGTAAGTGGGACTGTGGAACTGAGTTCTGGCAAATGGAATGTGAGCAGGAGTGATGTACACTCCTTGTAGGCCTGCTTGGCTCCTATACATTTCATGAGATCCTCCACATTTCCCTCTTCCCTTGTCTTCTAGTTAGACGCTGAGGATCTAGGGGATGACTTTAAGATGCTAGAAGAAAGTGCTGAAACCACCAGAGGGAAGCAGCCCGAGTCCCTGAATCACCACATGGCAGGTTTCCTGTTGGACAACAGTGTGAACTGTGACATAAGAAAGAAATCAATTGTCTAAGCCATTGAGATTTGGGGATTGTTTGTTACCGGGCTTAGTCTACACAATTTAAAGATCATGAGGTGTTGAGCTGAATCAGAAAGTTTCATAAATCCTTTAGGCTATGGATAGGGACAGGGTCTTAATTATCCTTTTATTTTTTATACTTAGCATGCATTATATTTAAGAAATTTATTGCATTTTGCCTCATCAAGGAAACCCTTAAAACCAACTAATTTCATGGAGAAAGTGTCCTTTCTGCATCTCTTGAAACTTCACAGAGTGTAGAAATGGCTGCACCATATTTCTCCCAGATAATGACCATAAATCTGAAAAAGTCTCAATCCAGCTTTAGCCTTTCCCTACCTTTTGGTCACAGGAATCATACTTTCAGAATCAGAAAGAGAACTTGTCCATGGGAATGACAGAATATTTGGAATCTGGATTGCCTTGAAGAATCACCATATGTTTAGCAAGGTCTTTAGTTTAGCTTCATACCTCCAGTAGATTTTAGGGATCATTGCCATGGCAGTCTTTCAATTTCTCTTGGGACAGTTGATAAAATGAGCCAATGTCTACAGATTCATTATTGGTCATTAAAAACAAATATTTTTAATTCCAAGAATAGGGTAACTTCATCAACTCATGCAAAACTTTACCAGGACTGGCTGTAGGTAAAATTATAAGATGGACTTAATTTGTCTTTGGTATCCTTCTACATTCCCTTTAAGCATCTTTCTCCCTTTCCTAACAATCCTAAGAAGCAGGCTATTCATGCTTATATACCAAACAATTAGATTATAACTCATAGAGACTCTTCAGGCATTGTTTTTTTTTTAGAGTTGGGGTCTCGCTCTGTCGCCCATGCTGGAGTGCAATGACACAACCATAACTCACTGTAGCCTTGAACTTCTGGGCTCAAGAGAGATTCCCATCTCAGCCTCTCAAGTAGCTAGGATTACAGGCATGCACCACTACACCTGGCTAATTTTTAAAAAATTATTATTATTATTATTATTTTTTGTAGAGACGGGGTCTCCCTGTGTTGTATAGGCTGGCCTTGAACTCCTGGTCTCAAGTGATTCTCCCTCCTCAGACTCCCAAAGAGTTGGAATCACAGGTGTGAACCACCATGCCCAGCCTAAATTATCTTTATATCTTGCTAAATTATTTATTTAACAAACTCTGTTAATGTTTAAACTATAATAAATTTCCTTATCAGTTTTAATATTTGAAAGCTCTTAATAGTTCTAAAATTAACAGCCTACTCAATTATCATTAATTATTTCAGGAGTTTTCCAGTAATAAATATACACTTGGAAGTCAACTCCCTGATATAATTTTGACATATAAAGCACATAAAGAGATTTTTACTTTAATCTCTAGAAGACTTATCTATACTTGAAAGTAAATATATAGACAATAATTATAAATCAGAATGGCGTGACTTGCAGCAATTACTGATGTTGTCATGCTGACTAGACATATTGACCTATGTCATCTTATGATCATTCACCAGGCACAAATTCAGGGTTAACTGAAATGATGCTCAAGTGGCCATTTGGCTTTTTAAACTTCCAAAATCTGAAGCCAAGACTGAAGCCAAGAATTAGATTTTTGACCAACTATCAAGGATGATCAATGCATCTTCACAGATTACAAATCATCTACAGTAAATCTTTACTTAATGTCATTCATAGGTTGTTGAAAACTGGGACTTTCAGCGAAACAACTTATAATGAAACCAATTTTGCCATAGGCTAAATTAATGAAAACAAGAGTTACATTCCTATGGCCTATTTATGGTCACAGAAATATCACCAAACTTCTAAATAATGACTAAAACACTTCTAATATTAAACATTGAAATAAATGTGAGCTAAAAGAGTAACAAAAACAAGATAATTATTTACCCGCTTATTCCAGTCAGAGTCGCGGGTGGCCCAAGCCTATTTCAGCAGCATAAATGCAAGGGGGAAACTTGCCCTGGAGAGGGCGCTCTCCCATGGCGGGGTGCACTCACACACATGCCACACTCGTTCAGACTGGGACCGTGGAGACACACCAATGAGCCGCAGGTATAGATCTTTGGAATGTGGGAGGGAACCGGAGTACTTGGAGGTAAGCCCATGAAGACATGGGGAAAATGTGTAAACTCCACACAGACATTGGCCTGGCCAGGAATTGATTTTTCTTGTTCCATCAGCGTTAGAATGAAATGATGTTAAACCAAATAATCTTATTCAAAGACCTACTGTATCTGAATCAGGTAGTTCAGCATGAAATACTGATCATGCCTTTGTTGAGTCAGCCAGAAATAATTTCCATTTTCTCAGGGATAAAGAGGTAGAACAATCTGTTCCCTACAGAAAACTCTTGGAATAGTTCCTGGGCTAGTATTGCCTGGATTTAAATGCAATGGTAAAGTTTAAAGATTAAGTGCTTTAACTGGGCTCCTTTGACTGCTAGGCATAATTAAGTGCAATGATACTCTGAAGACTGGGGTGGGAGAATCACTTGAGGCCAGGTGTTTGAGACCGGCCTGAGTAACATAGTGAGACCCCCCACCCCGCACATCTGTAAAAAAATAAAATAAAAAATAAGTAAACAATTAAGTGCAAAAAGATTTTTAAGAGCTGGTATTATCCCTTCCACAACCTGAAGTTTAAAATAATTTTTAGTCTGAAAACTTAACATGGCTTTAAGATCCAAATTACCACAGTTAGATACATTAGTCTCCTTGTTATTCAGAAAATTGCCTTTAAGGACACAAATATTTATCTCAGTAAAGACTCACTATTATGAAATCTTAAAATTATTTATTAAAATGTGATTGATCTAGTAACATTCTTCTGTTATCATTACAACCAGCATGTGGGCATAAGTGACAAAAGGAGCAATGACAAAAGTAATTGATTTTATTTTGCTTTTCTAACCACAGTATTTAGACAGTGCTATAGTTATTATGCATAATAAAAATAAGTTAAAAAATAAATTGACCATGTGACAGGTTTTTGGTAGGTCTTTAACAAATGTCAAGTTGATAAATCTGACTGGGATGAGAGTGTCAAATGGTCTTTGAAACTGCTTTTCGTTTTATAAAGGCCTGGCCCACAGAATAGCAATTCCCACTTACTAGCTGGTAACAAAATTGGTATATTTAAGGGCAAAGTCTGGATTAAAACCTATGGAAAAAATTGTGATTGAAGTTACTTAGTCATGAAATAGAGTTGTTAAAGGGGATTGTACATATTTTTAAACTTTGCTTTAGTGAGATCATAAATGCATAAAATAAAACAACTATGGCCTTATTCCTCAAATCATTTTGGCTTGAATAGCTGCCTTGAATAAAAATAGTAAAAGAGTGTTATATTTATAGAACTCTATTTTTATCTATGAATATAGATGAAACTGGAAAAAATCCCCTAATGTCCAACAGTCAGGTGTGGCATATAAGGTCAGCTGTTCACCAAGTTAGCCTCCTTATTGGTATTATATAATTGACTCTGGTGGTCCATACAAGGACTAATGTACCCACTTTCTCTTGCATCAGAATATTTTCATGTGACTGATTTCTTGGTAATGGCATAGAGTGGAACTGATGGGTGTTAACTTCTTAGAGAAGGCCGATGAAGTTGGTGTGACTTCTCCAAACTCTCTTTCTCTCCTATTGGCTGGGTGCATAGGGCTTCTTGGCCTGGTCAATAGGGACTGTTGCATTGTAAATGGGAGAGTGCATGATCTTGCTAAGGACCAGCTGCTACTTACTTGAGCCCATTGTTGCCATGTGAGTTTGTGGGACCAGTGGAGCAGATTTTGGCATTATTCAAGAGAAGCTGAAAGTGCAGATTTTTATTTGAAATTCTCCTATTTACATGCCAAACAAAACAGTCAGTGGGCCATCAGCTTGCAATCTCTTATTGAATAACTTGAGCCCTGTGTAGATTAATTGTAATCATACATTACATGCTATAAAGGTATTATAAAGTGATTTCACACACGTTTCTTTAAGCTGTAAGAAAGCTTAATTTGGTAAATCTTACTATCTTCATTTTTAAAGATAAGAGAAACAAGGTTCAGAAACTTGTACTCCTAGGACTTCATCAGAGCCGTATGCTGCAGTTCTATCTTTACCTCCATTTCTATCTCTTCATGCCGCCTATGCTCAGCTAAACTACCCATGTTCCCTTGAACTTGTCAGTATGTTCTTGCTACACTGCTCTTGCTATGGAACCCCCTTCTTTGAATCCCTTCCTCTGTACAGATTTCCCTACTTTATTATTTATTCTCTACTTTCTACCCATGCTTCAGGACTAAACTTAAACATCTCTTCCACATGAATTTCTCAGCTAGCTTTGTGCTTCCTTCTCTGTTGGTAGTTCATAGATCGTATGTTGCTGGAATTGTAGCTGCATACATGTGTCTTCCTAATTAGATTATAAACCTTTGAGATCAGGGAGCAAGTCTTATTTCTCTTTACAATATCCTGTGACATCCTCATAAATCCCTGAACAACATGGGCATCCAAGAATATTCATTGAATCAAAATTTCCACCTATTCTCAATAGCACAACAAGATTATACATTTATTGTACAGTCCATGATGTGAGTAAAGCCTTAAGTTAGACTTAAACCCTCTGAATCAGCATAATAGGGAAACATATTCTCATCTACAGAAAGGGTAAAGGTTCATCCTTTGAGCTGGAGGACAGCTGCAGTTGAGTCTCAGATCTAGTGTAAATCAGCAACGAATGATGGCTAGATCACATCTCTTTCACGAATAGCTGGCTAGTGATTACCATTAACAAACTTTGCTATGGCTTAGTTTCTTCCTTCAAATGTAAATCAAGATTTTCAAAGAGTTTCTTAAACAATTTCTTAAGGAGTATACCTTAATGTTGCAAAGAGGCCTCAGCCAATGGAGCATTTTATTTAAGCTCTTGAAAAGATAAAGAGGTAAAATGCAGTTAGACATTTTCATGCCACTAGTGAATCAGAAAAAAGAAGTCACTGTCCCTCTAACAGTGAGATGAAAGCAGGTTCATCTATTAACTGGGGCTAAAGTACGGTGCAGTATTCATTCCCATCAATTCTCATTGAGAATGAGCACAGAGAATGTTCAGAGTTTCATTTCCTAGTTATTGCTTTCTTCTTATTTTCAAACTGCTTCTATTCATTTCTGTATGGCTAGATATGAGACTCTTTAGGCATGCTAATTTACTATTTTTCCCCAATCTATTTGATGTCTGCAAAGAACTGTAGATGTATTTTGTATTATGTTATTAACTTGAACTAGTCAGGAGTTAATGAAGAAGGCTATAAAAAAGCCAGTGTTTTTGTTTTGAACCAATTCATGTTAATTTATATGCTTCTGACCAGGTTAAAAGCCCTTAGCACATGTATCATTAAAATAAAAATTCATGAACCCCGTACAACCTGGACAGAGGGCTGAATTGAGAGGAGAGGTGGTGGGAAAGTTGCAGATGTTTATTATAATCAATTTAATATTCTGAGTTGTGAGATAATTTCTTAACAAGTCAATTATTATAGATTAGATTATAAAGATTTATCCTTTGATCCTCAGCTGTCTTCTGCCTTAGACTGTGTTCAGCATCTCAGCGGGAATCAGGGAATTCTTGGTAGAACGAAACAAACGTCTCTCCAGCTATCAGCTTCATTAGCAGCACAAGCTGGCTTTGAAAATAGCTTCCAAGCATAAAGAAAGCCTACTTTCAGGGTTTAACATAAGGTAAATATATCTAATATAGTCTAATGTGGAAATTTACAGGAGCCAGACTGGATAAATTAGTAGGAAACCTAATAATTTTGAATCAATGTACATTCATTAAAAAGTAGTAAATAAAGAAAACAGTCTATTGCATTTAACTAAAGGTTTGACTATAATCAGTTTTTAAAAATAACTATTTCCCTCTCCAGACTTGTGAGGCTGACAGACTGGGGTTGGGATCCCCTTCTGTTCCCACCTGCTAAAGGAGTCAGGGCAAATTACTGTTCATGTTTTCATTTCCTTCCATGTAAAATGGTGCTACTAAGACCCAAGCAGTCTCAGCAGCAGCACTACACTTCACAAATAATAGCTATTAATATTATTATTATGTTGTTACATACAAAATATAAATAAGACATGATAAAAGTAAAAGTAAATATAATCCCACACATTGGTATAAGCACTAGAGAGATTTTGGTATATTTCCTTCTGACCCTTTTTTCTATATGTATTTGCACAAAAATGAGATTGTATTGTACATGTTGCTTTTTTCTCACTTAAAATATTAGTAGTATCTTTTGATGCCATTATATACAATAGACAAAGTTTTTTAAAGGAACTTTATTCATTATAAGTTTTTGTGAGTAGGTTTGGGATAACATGTCAGGGTTTTAGAACTTTCATCCTCTTGGGTAACAAAAAATTCTACCTGTAGGAATAACTAGGTAGGAGCTGTCACTGATGGCTGCAGCCCAGTCAACAATATCTACGTCTTTTCATCAACAAGTAGTTACAAAAAAATATGGGGTGATAGTGGTCATTCTTGAGAACAAGGAACATTCTTTTTCTGTACCTTGAAAACTAGTTTTTATAAATAGCCAAATGCCAATGAAAATCTAAAATACTGGGCTTTTCCTAACCTGAGACACAAAATTATACTGAAAAGCCTAAGGAGGATGTTAAAGATGAGCACAATGTTGCGCTTTATATCTGATCCAATACCAGGACACCTCTTCTATTTCCAGTAAGGCCAATTATCTCATTTTCCTTTATTCCCTTTCCTGTGCTGCTTTTGCAGAGGAGGGTGCACTTGTTTTGGTGAAATAAGACAATTGCATTAGAGACTCTCTCTGTAAGCAGAGGAAACAATGTTAATCATATGAGACCCTTTTAAAATGTGGACCACACTGGTTTATTGCTACTGTACTTTTAACCCCACTCTTTTATATTCCGCTTTATGATGCTGGGCTGAATCCCTGCAAACTTTTCTCCTGTGCTAGCCTCTGTTACATACTGGCACAGGGGGCCACTCAAAGAGTCTGAAAGTAGGGACCTGTTTCTTCCTGTTCCTTTCAGTGTCACCACAGTGATGGTTCTTCATACTGGCCTTGACGGTTGTTCCATTACAGCAGTACTTTCAGAACCAGCCTAAACACCTGTCCCCACCCTCTCCTGCCCCGAAATGCCAGCTTTCCCTCCTCAGAGATCTGCATGCCAGCTCCTTGAGGGTCCCTCCTTCAAGCTTCTACATTTTCTTAATTCCATTCCATTCCCTTTGTTCCCACAGTCCTTGGGGTGGTAGCTACTCATTGTAGTTACTATCTCTGTGATACCTCAGTATGGCCCCCTTTTCATTTCCAATTCTCCAATACCTGGCTAACTATTCTTTATGTTAAATTCTCCCAACTAAACTTTCTGGTGTGTTTTTGTCTCCTGATGGCCCTGGCTAATGCACGGACCAATACCAGACTGACTTTGCCATTTCTTTCATACTTTTAGAGTATGTGGCTGTTCTGCTTCTCCAGTGCTTCCCATCTAGTGGTAGGTGACTACTGGTGAGATGCTAGGTTAGCATAACATGTACTTAGAATTTAAAATGGAATTCACTCCCAACAAGATTTCAGCAATTTGTATTTCTGTGAATTGTATTGTATATGAATATATAATAATACAATATCCATGAATGTAAATGCCTTAGAAATAGCAGACTTTTGTTTCATATTTAGTGAAACTCCATATAAATATACAAATGTTGCTTTCCAAAGGACATGAAATCCATGTTTTATTTATGTATTTATAAAAAATTTAAAGAGCCTCTTGCCCAATTTTATATAGAAAACAACAAACAAGCCATCTTCAAACAAACAGTTATGTTTCCTCATGGGATTTAAAATAGAACATCTTGTCCAATAGGCTTCTTCAACCTAAAGTTATCTAAAAATGCTAAATAAGCTTCTTCAAAAAATAAGCTTATTTCACTTAGGAAATGGCTCTCCTTGAGTACAGAATTGTTGGACAAGAAAAAAGCTTCTAATTACTTCTGAAAGAATCTCTGAAGAGCTAAGATCAATGAATTGGATGAGAATTCTATCTGCCACGTGTCTTCTATTTTTCACAGGAAAAATGAAAGTAGTTTTTTTCCCTCTTTTTCCCAAGCACTCTCGATCTCTGAGTCCTTCCCTCCCTCTCTTCCCCAATCCCTTGTTTCTACAGCAGGTTCTATATTTAGAAAGAATCCATGGACTAAGGACAAAGCAAGTTTGACTTTCATTTCTACCAGTTCTGTTGGTAAATGTGGGTTATGGCTGCAGCAGCCTTAAATGACTCCTGTGCCTCTCTACCCATCTTCTCTAGGAATTTCTGAAGTGTGCTCTCTTTCAGGTGCTTGGTAAACTGGGTTTGTTGTTTCCTGACAGCTGGGTTGGAGTGGGGGCTGTTACGGATTGTCAGATAACACGGATGGACAATGGTGCTAGAATGGACACCGCAGAGAGAGGATGGGAGGTATGGGGTTAGGAAGGGAAGGCTGAGAGGCAAGGGGCAAAAGCAGGCTTGCCCCTTGTCTTTTGATCACTTCAAACCATTCTTTCTTCCTGGTAGAGCTATGGATAGTGACAGTGTATGCCCAGCTTGAGGGAAATGTGTGTAATTCAGAGGCACACCCAACTCCAAAGGGACACACTACTGTTTACAGAGAGTCAAGGCTTTCAGATGAGTTGTGCTTTTTCCAAGGTTCCAAGACATCAATAAAAAAAAAAATGTGCCTTTGTGCTGTTTTCATACTAGCTTAGGCATGTTATTTTCCTCTCTAAAATGAGGTTGTTAGCACTGAATGGATCCCAAGATTGTGGTCTTTATTTAGTGAAAGGTCATGGACCAAAACCTAGATTGTTTCTACCATTTTGTTTCAATTTATATGTTCTGATAGTTTTCTTTTTATTCTGATTCAAGGTTTAGCTTTTTTTTTTTTTTTTTTCAACGATCATATTCTCACGACTGCTCTTTTAGGGTTTTATTGGTGCTGATGATGCCTGAATTTGTCTCTGGTTCTGAACTCTTTCCTGGGCATAACTCTTTAACTCCTTTGATGACCTGAACATGTTTGCTTGCACATCCCAGCACTGCTTTCAACTGAGCACATGTAGCATAGCTCTTCAGTAAGAACGGTCTCTCCCTAAAGTCCATGTTTCTGCAAACAGCACCACAATCACCAAGGTCAGGCTTACCTTTCTCTTCACTCCCATGTTCAACTGGTCACTCAGTCCTTGTACATCTGCCTTGATTGTTTCCAGGTTGTTTTTCTCTGTTCTCCCCAGGGCTCGCTCATTACCTGGATTGTCCTAATGCCTTCTTACCTGGTCTTTCTATTTCTGGTCTCTTTCTTCAAATAGTTCTGCTTTTTATTTCAAATCAATCTGCTAAAACATCACTTTCATTGTTTCTTGCCTCAATTTAAAAAATGCCACTTCCCCCATTTTTCTGCAAGACCCCTCATCTAGATTTTAAGTTCCTTCACAGGCCATCAAATTTTTCAAATTTACTTCTAACCACTCACTCCTCAATATAAAGGCTCTATCCATTTAGAAGAATAGAACCAAGCTAAAAAGCTGGGGGAAAGTTCAGATGTGATTGAGAGTTTGATGACAGATTTTGTGTGTGTGTGCGTGTGTGTGTGTGTGTGTGTGTGTGTGTGTGTGTGTGTGTGTATTCATTCCCTTTGGGTGTTCCTAAATCTCCTGAAGCTTTTATTGAGAAGCCCATTCTAGGATGTTTTACATTTGAGTCCCTGAACATGACTTGTTCATATTATCTTCTTCCCTCCCCTCTGAGATTATTTCTGTTAATTGTATCACCAACCTCATCATCCAGCTAGAAATCAAGCCATCCTCTTTAACTTGTCTGTATCTCTTACCTGTCACCTCAACCACTTGTTGCATCCTGGTTTATTCTATTGTGCAACATCTCTCACATACGTTGCCTCCTGTCTGTTCATTTGTGCTGTCTTTCACAACCTTCCATTTTTCTACTATAAGCTTTTGCAGCTAGATTTCTAGCTCATCCTGTATCTATAGATAAATTTGTTCCCCACTCTTGCTTTCTGTACCATATGCTGTTTTCAGATTTATTTTCATAAAACTTCTACTCAGACCCCATTGCTTGCTCTTCAGGGAATTCTCACTGCCTGAAGAATAAAATCCAAACTTCTGGGATTAAAGTTCTTCCACAGCCCGAGCCTGTTACCAGTGGCGAATCTGACAGGTCTGCCGCAAACCTGACCCTTGCCTCCTTGGAGGAAATAATTTGGCTGAGGAGCAGAAGTAGGTTTCAGGTAGAGAGAGAGACCTAAGCAAATTTTAGAGCAGGAGTGAGTTTATCAAAAAGTTTTAGAGCAGGAACAAAAGGAAGTAAAGTACACTTGGAAGAGGGTCAAGAAGGTGACTTAAGAGATGCAAGTGTCCTGTCTGGCCCTTGACTTGGGGTTTTGTACATTGGCATGGTTCCAGGGTTTATGTTTCTTCTCCCTTGATTCTTCCCTTGGAGCGAGCTGTCTGCATGTGCAGTGGCCTGCCAGCACTTGGGAGGGGCCACATGCACAGTGTGCTTACTGAAGCTGTACAGCACACTTTAGGTGTTTTTTTCTTACCAGTCTAGTGTTCCTAAAGGAGGGTCATGTACTGGTTAAATGCTGCCATTTTGCCTCTTAGCGTACATGCTTGAGCCCACTCATCCAGCTCCTGAGATCTTATCAGGAAGCTGCTGATCACCAGCTTCAGGTGTTTACTACCTACTGGGAGACTCTGTTTCCCTGGTGCTGGTCATGACCAATTATTATTTTACAGTGGTTGTTTAACAGCCACCTGACCATCACCTGATGGTTGCCTGACATTCCTGGGGGTGGGGCCTCTCCTGCCTTGCTCATGTCTGCCTAATTACCTGCTCTAAGAAGCCTGCCCTAACATTCCTGTCCTATCTCCCATGACATTCCTGGCCTAACTAAGAAATGGGCATAATTTCTTGAACATGTCCTATATGTTTGCTTGCGCTATTTCCTCTGCTTGGATTTCCCTTTTTGCCTTCTGTGCCTGACGTAATGCTACCCGTTTTGGGCCCAGCTCAAATATTACCTCCTCCCTAATACTTTCTATCACCTCTTCCTCTGTTTGAATATTTAACTGTTTGAATATTAACACTCTCTTAACTGTGGCAAGTATAGCATTTTCCATATTCAACAGTTGTAAGGATTTTATATAGATGTTATCTGAGCTAGACTTACAAAGCTACCACAAGGCAGAGACTTACCTTAACCATCTGAACATCCCCAGGTCCTGGCATGATTCCTTGCATGTAATCACTGAATATGTGAACATGCTCCTGCCTTGACAGCCTTCCTCTTGCTGATACATTTTCCTGGAACTCTTGCTTTTAACCTCTCTAGGTCTCTAAATACTTAAAGACTTTAAAGGATCAATTATGATTCTTTGTTTCAGACAATTTCTTCTTAACTAGTAATCTTATCTGTGAATATGTATATTCATTGTTGTCTGTGTTATTCTCTTAGAACTTAACAAATTGCTCCTTTGTATTATTAAAAATGTTTATTTTGGGTATGATGGGCAGGGAGTGAGGAGGGAGGTCACAGTTTGAATTCAAATGCAATTTAGCTATGTTCATGCAAATCCAGTGGGAATTAGGGGTAGATATGATCATACCAGAGCGGCTGACAACTCTGAAATCTTTAGGGCTGACCAGCAGGCTAGAGACTCAGGAAAGAGTGGATGTTGTAGCTCAAGTCCAAAAGCAGTCTGGAAGCAAAATTCCCACTTCCTTGGACAACCCTAACCTTTTTCTCTTAAAGGAGTTATTATCTATTATCATAAGAACTCCTGTTTATCTTGGGTGATAACCTATTCTAAGTAAAAAGTAGTGCTTAGCTTGACCCAGGAAGAAAGCTTTAGTTGTCAAGGGCATGAACTTGGTTACAGCTTGGGTGTTATTTCAAATCACTAAGTGGTATGTGAGGACTTCACTTTGTCTTTGGAGGTATTCATGGAAGCAGTGGAGTTCTGCAGGAATAGACACATTGTGAGCATGTGCAAACCACTCCTTGGCAACTCCTGGAATAATGAAGGGACACTTTACTGTGGGCAGTGGTCTTGTCTGAACAGGATGAGAAACCTGTGAAGTTTGAGATATTATACTTTGCATGATCGTTACATGATAAAGCCTGAGAAACTCAGGTTGTGTTTTGTGTTGTGTTTTGTTATTCCACCAACACAGTAAGCTTCCTCAAAAGCAACATCCCATCTAATCCCTCCTTTCTTTCCCATTGATGTGGCTCTAATTTTGGCTTCCAGCATGTCTCATCTGGATGATCACAGGAGCTACTGTTTTCCAGCCTCTGTTCCTACATTCCACGAATTCATTCTCCTCAATACTGCCAGAGGTTTCTTTCAAAATGAAAATCAACTACTCCCAGTTCAAATCAGCAGACAGAGGCTGCATTTACCTTTTCTTTCCCCCAAATTACCTTTGAAGTGATGGAAGAAATACACAACTAAAACATAAACCCATCACAGCAATGATACTGTGGTCTGAATATCCATGTCCCTCCAAAGTTCATGTGTTGAAATCTACCCCACAATATGTTTATATTAAGAGGTATGGTCTTTGGGAAGTGACTAGGCCATTGAAATGGTTTGGCTGTGTGTCCCACCCAGATCTTATCTTAAATTGTAATCTCCATGTGTGGACAGAGGGACCTGGTGGGGGGGTGATTGGATCATGAGGGTGGTTACCCCCATGCTGTTCTTGTGATAGTGAGGGAGTTCTCATGAGATCTGGTGGTTTAAAAGTGTTTGGAAGTTCTCTCCTCACTTTCCTTCTCTCCTGCTGCCATGTAAGACATGCCTTACATTCCCTTCACCTTCCACCATGATTGTAAGTTTCCTGAGGCCTCCCCCACCATGTGGAACTGAGAATCAATTAAACCTTTTTCTTCCATAAGTTACCAAGTCTCTGGAAGTTCTATATAGCAGTGTGAAAATGGATGAACACAGTCATGAATGGGATGAGTGCCCTTATAAAAGAGACCCAGGTGAGCTTGCCCTGACTTCCACCATGTGAGGATGCTGCAATAAGGTGAGAGGGCAACTCTCACCAGACACCAAATCTGCTGGTGCCTTGATCTTAGATTTCCTAGCTTTCAGAAACTTTGAGCAATACATTTCTTTTGTTTATAAATTACTCAATGTAATGTATTTTGTTATAGCTGCCAGAACGGGCTGACTGTTGATCTGACTAATGATAACAGAAAGGGTGTCACAAGAAGAGAAGAAATATTGATGAATTTCTGGAATGTACAAGGCAATCCATTCAGGACTGAGATATTTATGACACAACAAAGCAAAGAAAGAAACTTCTGAAAAACTGTCCAATTGTAATACATGATAAATTATCCTAAAATGTATTTTTTTGATAAAAAGTAAAAGTCACATTGAATATGCTTGATTTAGAAGGTGCTGTTTTCGAAAAAAAAAAAAAGTGAATCAGATAATTTTGTACTGGTCATCATAACCTGACCACATAAAATATTTTGATTCCTAGAAGTATCTAAACTTTGTCTTCCTAAGCAAACACGGCAGCTGATTATAATAATCAAGCCCCTATTTTTCTGAGTGGATCTTGGAAGTAAATGCATCAATAAAAAGTTAGCTTCCATTCTGATGCAGAGCTTGGAGGGAGGCACCTGCCGGGGTGGCCCTGCTCTGGTGGACTGTGGGAAGGGCAAAGGAACCCTGGAGAAGGACTGAATTCTCGTGTAGGGTGAAACTACAGTGGCAGTTGATGCCTTGGGGTTCAACCCAACCCCTTAGCCTTTTCTCGGCTGAGCAGAGAGATGTCTGGCTCTGGAGGTGTCCTGCCCTCGGTGACCAAAGTCTGGAAGGGAGGGTTAAGATATGCCACTTTAGTTTTAATCTTCCATATTTTATGAAAAGCTCCCTTCAACTTTTTTTTAATAGTGAAAAATATTTTATGACATGAGTAGGAGTTAAAATTAAGTGAATCAAGAATATTACAAAGGGCATAGTCAGTATAATCTTAAGACATACAATTTCACCTATATAGTTGAGATTGTAACCGTAAATGCATTATTGCACTGTGCTTTGTTTACTTAACCTTTGATCATATGCATTTCCCTAGATCACTGTGTATTTGTAGTTTGACACACATAACACCATTCTTGCCCATACACACACCCAAATATGGGTTAGGGGACAGAGCCACATAGAAGGTCATGATAATATTGGTGATTTTATTTTTCATACTATGTACTTTTCTGTATTTTCTAAACGTTTTTTCTAATCAGGAATCAATGCAAAGTAACTTTTAAGATAAAATAATCAACCTTTTCTGGGAATTTGAGTGATTTTTTTTTCTTCTACATTCCTGCATTCACATTTTTTTCTAAAACAACAGGTACTACTTTTGTCATGAAAAAATACTTTTTAAAGAAGAGAATAAACTAAAAGCAAAAATTGTTGTTATATTAAAAGTTCATTCTTAGGAATATAGGTGATTTTTTCCCCCTCACCTTTTTAATTGAAAGAACAGACATTTCTCAAAAGAAGACATTCATGCAGCCAACAGACACATGAAAAAATGCTCATCATCACTGGCCATCAGAGAAATGCAAATCAAAACCACAATGAGATACCATCTCACAGCAGTTAGAATGGCGATCATTAAAAAGTCAGGAAACAACAGGTGCTGGAGAGGATGTGGAGAAATAGGAACACTTTTATACTGTTGGTGGGACTATAAAGTAGTTCAACCATTGTGGAAGACAGCGTGGCTATTCCTCAAGGATCTAGAACAGAAATACCATTTGACCCAGCCATCCCATTACTGGGTATATACCCAAAGGATTATAAATCATGCTGCTATAAAGACATGTGCACACATATGTTTATTGCGGCACTATTCACAGTAGCAAAGACTTGGAACCAACCCAAATGTCCATCAATGATAGACTGGATTAAGAAAATGTGGCACATATACACCATGGAATACTATGCAGCCATAAAAAAGGATGAGTTCATGTCCTTTGTAGGGGCATGGATGAAGCTGGAAACCTCATTCTCAGCAAACTATCGCAAGGACAAAAAACCAAACACTGCATGTTCTTACTCATAGGTGGGAATTGAACAATGAGAACACATGGACACAGGAAGGGGAACATCACACACCGGGGCCTGTCGTGGGGTGGGGGGGTGGGGGAGGGATAGCATTAGGAGATATACCTAATATAAATGACGAATTGATGGGTGCAGTACACCAACATGGCACATGTATACACATGTAACAAACCTGCACATTGTGCACATGTACCCTAGAACTTAAAGTATAATAATAATAAAAAAAGAAAGTACATGTGACTTTGTGCTTATAAACTAGTATATTTGTATAGTATGTATGGTATGTTCTTATACACTAGTACTGCAAATTTTCTAAAATAGCGTAGAGTGCTTTTTATGAAAAAACCTTATTTTTTTAAAATAAACTTTATGACGTCTCACTCCTTTACCATAGAATTTCTCTTTCTTTCCTTCCTTTCTCTTTCTTTCTTTCTTTTGCTTTCTTTCTTTCTTTTTCTTCTCTTTCTTTTTTTTTTTTTTTGATAGAGTCTCACTCTGTAGCCAAGGCTGGAGTGCAGTGGCGTGATCTTGGCTCACTGCACACTGCCTCCCGGGTTCAAGTGATTCTCCTGCCTCAGCCTCCCGAGTAGCTGAGACTACAGGCACATGCCATCACCCCCAGCAAATTTTTTGTATTTTTTTAGAAACGGGGTTTCACTGTGTTAGCCAGGATGGTCTCGATCTCCTGACCTCGTGATCCGCCTGCCTCGGCCTCCCAAAGTGCTGGGATTACAGGCGTGAGCCACTGCACCCGCCTACTATTTCTTTACTTTCCATTTTTAGCTTTAATTTTTTAGCTTCTGTTAATATTTGAATTTTTTTTACCTTGCACATGTTATTTAAAAATAACAGTGTTGCCCTCCATTAGAACCCATACAAGCATAACATATGCATTTACATATATATGAAGATATTGCTCCCTTTGTTTTTCTTTTTAGCCAATTTTTAAATTTTAGAACAGTTTTAAATTTACAAAAAAATTGCAAAGTTAGTACAGAGATTTTCTATATACTCCACACCCAATTTCCCCTATTATTAATGTCTTATATTCATATGGTACATTTGGGACAATTAATAAACAAAGACTGATACATTATTGTTAACAAAAGTCCACACTTTATTCAGATTTTGCTAGTTTTTGCTTAATGCCCTTTTTCTGTCCCGGGATGCCGTCCAGCATATCATGTTACATTTAGTCAAGTCTTCTTGGGCTCCTTCTTGGCTGTAATGGTTTCTCAGACTTTTTTCTTTTTGATGACCTTGACAGTTTTGAGGAGAACTAATTAGGTATTTTGTCAAAAGTCCCTCAGTGGAGATTTTTCTGATGTTTTTCTCATAATTAGACTGGAATTATGGGTGTTTGGGAGGAAAACCTTCATTAAATCGTATCTGGAGTACGTTCTACCTATAAGACTTAGTACTGTTAATGTTACCCTTGATCACGTGCCTTGAGGTAGTGTTTGTAGGCTTCACAATGTGAAAGTACTCCTTTTTCCCTCTTTCCATGCTGCGCTCCTTGGAAGGAAAACACTGCACAGTCCACACGTAAGCAGTAGAGATTTGTGCACTCCTCAAGTGTGAACTTAAAAGAATATCTACAGTCCTTTGGTTTTTCATTGTGTTTATCTCTCTATTTTATTTGAGGAAAGAATATGTAGGCTTAACATTATGAATGTTTAAGTTGGGAAATCAAGGGGCATGTGTAGAGGTCAGCAAGACACTGTTGAGCATTTACATTGTTGTAACCATGAGAGTGAAATGAGTCAACAATACAGAGTTTGGACAAGTAGAACAGACAGTATATAGGAGATTGAATTGTGTGTGCCCCACTCTCGTGGTCTGTCACTCTCTTTTTCTGAACACACACACACACACATACACACACACACTCTCTCTCTCCTCTCTGTCTCTCTCTCTCTCTTTCTCTTTCTCTCTCTCTCCAAATTGTTTTGAGGCCAAGTTACAGAAATACATCTCCTTTATACCCTTAAAATATTTTAATGCTTATTTCCTAAGAACAAGGACAATCTCTTATATAACCACAATACAATAATCAAAATCAGGAAACGAACATTGATATAGTGCTATTATCTGTTCTACAAATCTTATTCAAATTTGGACAATTGTCCTACTTATGTTTTTCACAGTAAAAGAAAAAAGTTCTGGTCTAGGATTCACAGCAGGATTACTTGTTTCATTTAATTGTACTTCACTCTTTTAAAAAAAATTTTGTAGAGACAGGGTCTCACTATGTTGCCCAGGCTAGTCTTAAACTCCTGGCCTCAAGCAATCCTCCTGCCTTGGCATCTCAAAGTGATGGACTTATAGGTGTAATTGCCTGGCCAATTATATCTCTTTAGTTTAAAGCAGAAAAGCTCCTTAGTTTGTCTTCTGTGTACCTCAGATTGGTTTGTGTGTTGCTTCCTCATGATTAGATTCAGGGTGGATGTCCAATTGACTAAAATCTTTTACTAAAAAATTAATATCTTCCTCATTTGTTTGAAATGCCAGATTTTTCATCTACTTAATTCTCATATGCATGCAGGAGCCTGTAGGTATTGTTTTCATTCAGCAATAAATGTTTCAGCTCAATGCTCTGCATTTCATTTGCACAAAGGCTTCCCGTGAAAGTAAAATGTCAAATATTTTATGTTTCTCAATCACTAAACTCATATTCTAATACTTGTTTAACTGGTCTATTGCACAAGCTGAATTCGGTGAAGTACAAATAGAACCCCTCTCCCCTTCTTTCTTTTTCCTCCCCCCTCCCCCTCCCCCTCCCCCTCCCCCTTCTTCTTCTTCTTCTTCTTCTTCTTCTTCTTCTTCTTCTTCTTCTTCTTCTTCTTCCTCTTCCTCTTCCTCTTCCTCTTCTTTTTGGGTAATGTATTGGGCAGATTCCATAGCTTTTCAGATATTAGGAAGTCTAGTCCATTCTGATAGGGATGCTTCTCACATTTCCCAACTCAAGCCTGATTCAGGTTCAGAAACCTGGAACAGTTTTTTGGGGAAAAAAGCATGGTGATGGCAGGCATGATGGTTCATTTTTGGTGTCAACTTGACCAGATTAAGGAACCAGTTATTTATAGATGTGTCTGTGAGGACATTTCTATAGGAGATTGGTATGTGAGTAGGTGGACTGAGTGGGGAAGATCCACTTTCAGTGTGGGTGTGTACCATGCTCTAATCAGTTGGGGCCCAGATAGAACAAAAGGCAGAGGAAAGGCAAATTCCCTCTCTCTTTCTCCTAGAGCTGGGACACCCTTCTTCTCCTGCCCCTGAACATCAGAACTCCAGGCTCTTTGGCCTTTGGACTCCAGGACTTATATCAGCAGGGTTCTCACAGAATTATACTATAGGCTTCTCTGCTTCCAGGACTTTCCAACTTAGACTAGGCCATGCTACTGGCAACCCAGGATCTGCAGCTTGCAGACAGCCTATTATGGGACTTCTCAGTCTCCACAATCCTCTGAGCCAGTTCTCCTAATAAGTCATCTCTTCTGTAGCTACATATCCATATCTATATCTTTTTTTTTTTTTTTGAGACATATTCTTGCTCTGTCGCCCAGGCTGGAGTTCAGTGGCACAATCTTGGCTCACTGCAACCTCTGCCTTCTGGGTTCAAGGGATTCTCCTGCCTCAGCCTCCCAAGCAGCTGGGACTACAGGCACCTACCACCATGCTTGGTTAATTTTTGTATTTTTAGTAGAGATGGGGTTTCGCCATGTTGCCCATGCTGGTCTCAAACTCCTGACCTCAGGTGATCTGCCCACCTCCGCCTCCCAAAGTGCTAGGTTTACAGGCATGAGCCACTGTGCCTGGCCTGTATCTATATCTATCATCTGTCTATTTATATCATCTACATCTATCTGCCTCTCTGTCTCTCTGAAGATTGGTTCTGTCTCTCTGAAGAACCATAATACAGCTGGTTTCTTAACTTTTTCTCTACCTCACTCTTCCATTAGCAGATGGATGTCCCTCTGCCTCCTCTAGGGCTGGACAAAGTGAGTGGAAGGGGAGGTGTTACTTGCTCAGTGTAATTGGAGTCCAGTTCTTCAGCTATGGCAGGTGCTCCTTTGGCTCTGCCACATGCTCTTTTGCTTGTGAGGCACTGGAACCTCCTGCTGCCCCATTCCTGAGAGGAGGATGTACCCTCCAAATGAACACTTTTTTGCTTCTACTGAATCCAGGTTGCCTTCTTGAACAGGGTCTTTTCCAGTCTCACTCTGGCTAACTACTTATTCCGTGATCCACTTATTCTGTGCAGAAAGTGCAGTGTCCTGCTCCTGGCTGTGGGTGGAAGCACAGCCTGGCCCTCTGCACCCATTCCACTCTGTCCGCCACCAGAGCTGTTCTCTTGGTGAGAGTCAGACACAACATCAGGATCTCCTCGAAGCTCTGGACACTGCACACTTTTCAGAGCCAGACGCTCTCCCACTGCACCAATGAGTATGTTAGGAATAAGAAAGAACTGTAACCGTGACAGAAAAGGGGTTTTAAAAAAACACTATTTATACAGTTTCAAATGAAAACAAGTTGAATATCTATATTGAGTATAATTTTTTAAGAAAATTATAATTTTATGAATGTTAACTAAAGAAGTATAAAACAGAATTCTATTTGTTCTACAAACCATTGGAAAAAAATGAAAAAGGTAGTCCAATATCAGATTTAATCCTTTATTTTTATAGTGCTGAAGATCCACCCATCCTTGAAGGAACATGAAATTCCTATGCCTTGTCAACTGCACTAGGGCATGGAGAAAAAGATGGAAAGATTCTTAGTACATCCTCTGAGATCCCCATACCCTGATGTCAGTAGCGAAGCACAATACAGCTGCCAAATCAATGTCACTTATAAATAAAGATGTAAGAATCCCGAGTAAATCATTAGCAACTTGGGTCCAGCATTGTATTACAAAAACTAACATCATTATGCAGGATTTATTTCAAGAAGCTCAGTTCAATTTAGGGAATATATCTATATTCTATTATTACTCTATAAATAGGTGAAAGAAAACTATAACATCATTTTGAGAGATTGCTATTATACAAAAGAATTAGGCAAGATTCACCACCACTTTTATACCACTTCTTTGTTTAAAAGTTTTATTAGCTTGAATTTATTTTGTGATGGAAAACCTATAAAATTTTTTAAAAAGAAAATTTAATCTGATCATATTATGTAATGTACAGATGATAATTTTTTTTTACTCCTAGTATTTTCCCTTCTGTCCATTCAAGTAGGCAGTAGCACATTCTCAGGGTAGAAAGAAGAAAATACATTTTCCTGTCTGGCTGTCATTTGTAAATACCAAGCCCACTGAGGGGAGAGGGAGGTCTTCATGGGAATAGCTAAGAGAAGGGATAAGTTTTCATCTTGGCTACACATTAGAAGCCTTTGGAGTCTTATAAAGTAATTGTCCCAGCCACACTGCACACCAGTGGGGTTGGTATGTTTGGTAATTGGGAATATGAATTTTTTTTTCTTTTTTTTACAGCGCTCCAGGTGACTCTGTAAGGAACATGATTGTGCTTTGGTTAAGGATAGGCCGAGGTAGGATGTTTACATCCTGCGCGACTCAGCAAGTTTAGAGGGCAGGCATATAACTCCACTTGTTATTACAGCTATGTAGCCATAACATGGGAACCTCACCACTTGGCCCTTAGCCACTATTGTCTGTAAAAGGTATAATTGCCCTGTTGACACTGTGCAGGCACTGGTGCCCAGAGAAAGTGAGAGAGCCAGAGCTGTCCATCTTTGCAAATGAACAGAGGGGAGCCAGGACACAGTTTGGCTCGCTTGTGGCCAGAGAGAAAGAGTTAAGCGTCTGACCCTGAAGGCAAGGGAGAGCCGGCCACTCAGCTGTGTGTGGGGGCCGCAGGACTAAGCAGCCGAGACAGGGCAGACAGTATGAGAAAGCTGTTGATGAGAGCGGCTGCTAATAAAGCCATTCACCTGTCTACGGTCGCCTGGGTGTTCTTTCTGCTCCTTTCCCCACTCCCTCCAGACCTCAACATGACCTTTGGTGTAGTCATGAACCTGACAGACTCTGATGCATGGCTAAGGTTGATGACTATTATTCTAAGAAAAATAAGAAGGGAGAAGCATTTTTACCTGACTAAACAGTAAGATTCTGCAGGGCTGAAAAGAGAGAAGAGAGAGAGGGCTATGCTTTCCAGAGAAACGGAATTCGGCCATGCTTTTGGCTACATCCCGGAGAGGATGGCTGCATGTTACCCTTTCTAGGGAAGTAAGACTCAATGGGCTTTGGGAGGTTTTAGCTTCATAAACAATTCCTGTATCTCACACTTGGTTTGGAAGCAGTAGGGACGACATACATCTTGATAACTCAGCCAAGCAGGTAACCAATGACAAGATGCATATCCTCCCTTCCATGTTTTCTCTTCCTTCAAAACTGCATATACCCCAGAACCTTTACAAGACCCTGGATTGGGGGGTTGAAGAATCCCTACTTAGGCCGGGCGCGGTGGCTCACTCCTGTAATACCAGCACTTTGGGAGGCTGAGGCGGGCGGATCACGAGGTCCGGAGATGGAGACCATCCTGGCTAACACAGTGGAACCCCGTCTCTACTAAAAATACAGAAGAAATTAGCCAGGCGTGGTGGCGAGCGCCTGTAGTCCCAGCTACTGGGGAGGCTGAGGCAGGAGAATGGCATGAACCCAGGAGGCAGAGCTTGCAGTGAGCCGAGATTACGCCACTGTACTCCAACCTGGGAGACAGAGAGAGACTCCATCGCCAAAAAAAAAAAAAAAAAAAAAAAATCCCTATTTATTACTAAATTCCCCTCCAGTCTGATGAGATGGTGGCCAAATCAATGGTAGTCTGATTTGTAGAGAACAAACAGATACGATATTTCTTGCAACACATGTAGATCTTACTGTTTATAGACGGAATGAATCAAAGCTCTGTATTCACACACCTGAGGACAACGCAAAGGCAATACATCAAATATTATCTCTAATTCCGAGAAAACTCATTTTAATTTTCCTGCCATTTAGTTGTAGAAACATAGTTCCTGGATGCTTCCATGCAAAACACAGGATGTACTAATCCTAACAATGACAGCAATTCAGTGTGATCCACAAAAACGGAATGCAACTCTTATACAGGCCAACAAAGCAGGAGGACCCAGAACTATTGCTGAATTAGCAAAGGGCTCCATCTGCTGATGGTTTATGCACATAAGAGCTGGACAGGGGTTCATGTTGGTATTTGTTTTAGGCAACATTCTTGAAATAATGGTTATGGCATTTCTTGTCCCGTCCTCAGGGAAGACTAGGACAGCTCAAGTAGGTCACAGAAATGTGAAATGAGGAAGAGGTGGTGGTCTGTAAGTTATTAGGGGCAGTGTTTCTTTCTTATTCTGTCTGTAAGTTATTAGGAGCAGTGTTTCTTACTCTGTGAAAAGTTTCCTATAAAAAGGCTTTGGGCACTCACTATCGCCGAGGTAGGGGCAGGTGCTGAGAATTCCAGTTTGCAAAGCCTCTTATCAAGAGACTTATTGTGAGGAAAATGGGATGCATCATTTGCCCTTTCAGTGGGAGGTTCTTCCTCTGGGTGAGTCTAATTTGCTGAAAGAACAATCGTGTCCTTCAGATTGTATTATATGTGTTCAGTGGTTCTTCAGTTTTTCATCCCAGTCTAGGAGAGTTCATCTATCATACTAAAGACTATTTATGGTATAATTAGCCCCTTGTCCAATTTTTCAAATTTTCTAAAATGGTTTTCAGTTAGAAAAGTTAGATAAGCTTGAGATAACCAGATTGAATTGATATAAGCAAAGCAAAGCAAAACAAACAAAAAGCAAAACAAAGCAAATTTTTAAAAAATTAAGGTTTAGCGAATAGGAACAGCTCCGGTCTACAGCTCCCAGCGTGAGCGACGCAGAAGACGGGTGATTTCCGCATTTCCATCTGAGGTACCGGGTTCATCTCACTAGGGAGTGCCAGACAGTGGGCGCAGGCCAGTGGGTGCGCGCACCGTGCGCGAGCCGAAGCAGGGCGAGGCATTGCCTCACCTGGGAAGCACAAGGGGTCAGGGAGTTCCCTTTCCGAGTCAAAGAAGGGGGTGATGGACGCACCTGGAAAATCGGGTCACTCCCACCCGAATATTGCGCTTTTCAGACCGGCTTAAAAAACGGCGCACCACGAGACTATATCCCACACCTGGCTCGGAGGGTCCTACGCCCACGGAATCTCGCTGATTGCTAGCACAGCAGTCTGAGATCAAACTGCAAGGCGATAGCGAGGCTGGGGGAGGGGCGCCCGCCATTGCCCAGGCTTGCTTAGATAAACAAAGCAGCCTGGAAGCTCAAACTGGGTGGAGCCCACCACAGCTCAAGGAGGCCTGCCTGCCTCTGTAGGCTCCACCTCTGGGGGCAGGGCACAGACAAACAAAAAGACAGCAGTAACCTCTGCAGACTTAAATGTCCCTGTCTGACAGCTTTGAAGAGAGCAGTGGTTCTCCCAGCACGCAGCTGGAGATCTGAGAACAGGCAGACTGCCTCCTCAAGTGGGTCCCTGACCCCTGACTCCCGAGCAGCCTAACTGGGAGGCACCCCGCAGCAGGGGCACACTGACACCTCACACTGCAGGGTATTCCAACAGACCTGCAGCTGAGGGTCCTGTCTGTTAGAAGGAAAACTAACAAACAGAAAGGACATCCACACCGAAAACCCATCTGTACATCACCATCATCAAAGACCAAAAGTAGATAAAACCACAAAGATGGGGAAAAAACAGAACAGAAAAACTGGAAACTCTAAAACGCAGAGCGCCTCTCCTCCTCCAAAGGAACGCAGTTCCTCACCAGCAACGGAACAAAGCTGGATGGAGAATGATTTTGACGAGCTGAGAGAGGAAGGCTTCAGACGATCGAATTACTCTGAGCTACGGGAGGACATTCAAACCAAAGGCAAAGAAGTTGAAAACTTTGAAAAAAATTTAGAAGAATGTATAACTAGAATAACCAATACAGGGAAGTGCTTAAAGGAGCTGATGGAGCTGAAAACCAAGGCTCGAGAACTACGTGAAGAATGCAGAAGCCTCAGGAGCCGATGCGATCAACTGGAAGAAAGGGTATCAGCAATGGAAGATGAAATGAATGAAATAAAGCGAGAAGGGAAGTTTAGAGAAAAAAGAATAAAAAGAAATGAGCAAAGCCTCCAAGAAATATGGGACTATGTGAAAAGACCAAATCTACGTCTGATTGGTGTACCTGAAAGTGATGGGGAGAATGGAACCAAGTTGGAAAACACTCTGCAGGATATTATCCAGGAGAACTTCCCCAATCTAGCGAGGGAGGCCAACATTCAGATTCAGGAAATACAGAGAACGCCACAAAGATACTCCTCGAGAAGAGCAACTCCAAGACACATAATTGTCAGATTCACCAAAGTTGAAATGAAGGAAAAAATGTTAAGGGCAGCCAGAGAGAAAGGTCGGGTTACCCTCAAAGGGAAGCCCATCAGACTAACAGCGGATCTCTCGGCAGAAACCCTACAAGCCAGAAGAGAGTGGGGGCCAATATTCAACATTCTTAAAGAAAAGAATTTTCAACCCAGAATTTCATATCCAGCCAAACTAAGCTTCATAAGTGAAGGAGAAATAAAATACTTTACAGACAAGCAAATGCTGAGAGATTTTGTCACCACCAGGCCTGCCCTAAAAGAGCTCCTGAAGGAAGCGCTAAACATGGAAAGGAACAACCGGTACCAGCCACTGCAAAATCATGCCAAAATGTAAAGACCATCGAGACTAGGAAGAAACTGCATCAACTAACGAGCAAAATCACCAGCTAACATCATAATGACAGGATCAAATTCACACATAACAATATTAACTTTAAATGTAAATGGACTAAATTCTCCAATTAAAAGACACAGACTGGCAAGTTGGATAAAGAGTCAAGACCCATCAGTGTGCTGTATTCAGGAAACCCATCTCACGTGCAGAGACACACATAGGCTCAAAATAAAAGGATGGAGGAAGATCTACCAAGCAAATGGAAAACAAAAAAAGGCAGGGGTTGCCATCCTAGTCTATGATAAAACAGACTTTAAACCAACAAAGATCAAAAGAGACAAAGAAGGCCATTACATAATGGTAAAGGGATCAGTTCAACAAGAGGAGCTAACTATCCTAAATATATATGCACCCAATACAGGAGCACCAAGATTCATAAAGCAAGTCCTGAGTGACCTACAAAGAGACTTAGACTCCCACACATTAATAATGGGAGACTTTAACACCCCACTATCAACATTAGACAGATCAACGAGACAGAAAGTTAACAAGGATACCCAGGAATTGAACTCAGCTCTGCACCAAGCAGACCTAATAGACATCTACAGAACTCTCCACCCCAAATCAACAGAATATACATTTTTTTCAGCACCACACCACACCTATTCCAAAACTGACCACATAGTTGGAAGTAAAGCTCTCCTCAGCAAATGTAAAAGAACAGAAATTATAACAAGCTATCTCTCAGACCACAGTGCAATCAAACTAGAACTCAGGATTAAGAAACTCACTCAAAACCACTCAACTACATGGAAACTGAACAACCTGCTCCTGAATGACTACTGGGTACATAACGAAATGAAGGCAGAAATAAAGATGTTCTTTGAAACCAACAAGAACAAAGACACAACATACTAGAATCTCTGGGACACATTTAAAGCAGTGTGTAGAGGGAAATTTATAGCACTAAATGCCCACAAGAGAAAGCAGGAAAGATCCAAAATTGACACCCTAACATCACAATGAAAAGAACTAGAAAAGCAAGAGCAAACACATTCAAAAGCTAGCAGAAGGCAAGAAATAACTAAAATCAGAGCAGAACTGAAGGAAATAGAGACACAAAAAACCCTTCAGAAAATCAATGGTTTTTTGAAACGATCAACAAAATTGATAGACCGCTAGCAAGACTAATAAAGAAAAAAAGAGAGAAGAATCAAATAGACACAATAAAAAATGATAAAGGGGATATCACCACCGATCCCACAGAAATACAAACTACCATCAGAGAATACTACAAACACCTCTACGCAAATAAACTAGAAAATCTAGAAGAAATGGATACATTCCTCGACATATACACTCTCCCAAGACTAACCCAGGAAGAAGTTGAATCTCTGAATAGACCAATAACAGGAGCTGAAATTGTGGCAATAATCAATAGTTTACCAACCAAAAAGAGTCCAGGACCAGAGGGATTCACAGCCGAATTCTACCAGAGGTACAAGGAGGAACTGGTACCATTCCTTCTGAAACTATTCCAATCAATAGAAAAAGAGGGAATCCTCCCTAACTCATTTTATGAGGCCAGCATCATTCTGATACCAAAGCCGGGCAGAGACACAACCAAAAAAGAGAATTTTAGACCAATATCCTTGATGAACATTGATGCAAAAATCCTCAATAAAATACTGGCAAACCGAATCCAGCAGCACATCAAAAAGCTTATCCACCATGATCAAGTGGGCTTCATCCCTGGGATGCGAGGCTGGTTCAATATACGCAAATCAATAAATGTAATCCAACATATAAACAGAGCCAAAGACAAAAACCACATGATTATCTCAATAGATGCAGAAAAAGCCTTTGACAAAATTCAACAACCTTTCATGCTAAAAACTCTCAATAAATTAGGTATTGATGGGACGTATTTCAAAATCATAAGAGCTATCTATGACAAACCCACAGCCAATATCATACTGAATGGGCAAAAACTGGAAGCATTCCCTTTGAAAACTGGCACAAGACAGGGATGCCCTCTCTCACTGCTCCTATTCAACATAGTGTTGGAAGTTCTGGCCAGGGCAATCAGGCAGGAGAAGGAAATAAAGGGTATTCAATTAGGAAAAGAGGAAGTCAAATTGTCCCTGTTTGCAGATGTCATGATTGTCTATCTAGAAAACCCCATCGTCTCAGCCCAAAATCTCCTTAAGCTGATAAGCAACTTCAGCAAAGTCTCAGGATACAAAATCAATGTACAAAAATCACAAGCATTCTTATACACCAATAACAGACAAACAGAGAGCCAAATCATGAGTGAACTCCCATTCACAATTGCTTCAAAGAGAATAAAATACCTAGGAATCCAACTTACAAGGGATGTGAAGGACCTCTTCAAGGAGAACTACAAACCACTGCTCAATGAAATAAAAGAGGATACAAACAAATGGAAGAATATTCCATGCTCATGGGTAGGAAGAATCAATATCGTGAAAATGGCCATACTGCCCAAGATAATTTACAGATTCAATGCCATCCCCATCAAGCTACCAATGCCTTTTTTCACAGAATTGGAAAAAACTACTTTAAAGTTCATATGGAACCAAAAAAGAGCCCGCATCACCAAGTCAATCCTAAGCCAAAAGAACAAAGCTGGAGGCATCACACTACCTGACTTCAAACTATACTACAAGGCTACAGCAACCAAAACAGCATGGTACTGGTACCAAAACAGAGATATAGATCAATGGAACAGAACAGAGCCCTCAGAAATAACGCCACATACCTACAACTATCTGATCTTTGACAAACCTGAGAAAAACAAGCAATGGGGAAAGGATTCCCTATTTAATAAATGGTGCTGGGAAAACTGGCTAGCCATATGTAGAAAGCTGAAACTGGATCCCTTCCTTACACCTTATACAAAAATCAATTCAAGATGGATTAAAGATTTAAACGTTAGACCTAAAACCATAAAAACCCTAGAAGAAAACCTAGGCATTACCATTCAGGACATAGGCGTGGGCAAGGACTTCATGTCCAAAACACCAAAAGCAATGGCAACCAAAGCCAAAATTGACAAATGGGATCTAATTAAACTAAAGAGCTTCTGCACAGGAAAAGAAACTACCATCAGAGTGAACAGGCAACCTACAACATGGGAGAAAATTTTCGCAACCTACTCATCTGACAAAGGGCTAATATCCAGAATCTACAATGAACTTAAACAAATTTACAAGAAAAAAACAAACAACCCCATCAAAAAGTGGGTGAGGGACATGAACAGACACTTCTCAAAAGAAGACATTTATGCAGCCAAAAAACAGGTGAAAAAATGCTCATCATCACTGGCCATCAGAGAAATGCAAATCAAAACCACTATGAGATATCATCTCACACCAGTTAGAATGGTGATCATTAAAAAGTCAGGAAACAACAGGTGCTGGAGAGGATGTGGAGAAATAGGAACACTTTTACACTGTTGGTGGGACTGTAAACTAGTTCAACCATTGTGGAAGTCAGTGTGGCGATTCCTCAGGGATCTAGAACTAGAAATACCATTTGACCCAGCCATCCCATTACTGGGTATATGCCCAAATGACTATAAATCATGCTGCTATAAAGACACATGCACATGTATGTTTATTGTGGCATTATTCACAATAGCAAAGACTTGGAACCAACCCAAATGTCCAACAATGATAGACTGGATTAAGAAAATGTGGCACATATACACCATGGAATACTATGCAGCCATAAAAAATGATGAGTTCATGTCCTTTGTAGGGACATGGATGAAACTGGAAACCATCATTCTCAGTAAACTATCGCAAGAACAAAAAACCAAACACCGCATATTCTCACTCATAGGTGGGAATTGAACAATGAGATCACATGGACACAGGAAAGGGAATATCACACTCTGGGGACTGTGGTGGGGAGGGGGGAGGGGGGAGGGATAGCACTGGGAGATATACCTAATGCTAGATGACGAGTTAGTGGGTGCAGCGCACCAGCATGGCACATGTATACATATGTAACTAACCTGCACAATGTGCACATGTACCCTAAAACTTAAAGTATAATTAAAAAAAAAAGATAATAATAATAGTAATAATAAAAAAAAAAAAGAAAAAAAAATTAAGGTTTACCTAGCCTGTGAAATGTTATTGAGAATTAAATATATTATTTTATTAGACCTAATAGGTTTGCCTTTATTATAATCTAATGAAGCATTTTTACAATTTATATAATTGAAACATTATATACCAAAATATGTGATACCAAGGGAATTTTTATTTAATTTGTAGCTATGTCATTAAAGTTCCAAACACCATAACCATGGTGTTTCATATTTCTTTATTAAGGAATATAAATGGCATTGAATAGTTATTTTCCAAAAACATCAGCTAAGACCTGTGGATGCAAGAAATAACTTGATCCTAATTTCTTAAATTTCTAGGTAGCTGCCTCAATTTCAGTTTTCTCCAATTGTTAATGACTAGCCCTCTAGGATTTTGTTGACGATATGTGCAGTCTGATGATTTCTGTTCAAGTTTGTTTCCTCCTAGGCACAATTCCAGTGCACCTGTGAGAGACCCTTTATTTTGATAAACCCAAATGTACTTAAAAGTTGGAAAGCTATACAATTGTAATTTGAAGAAGTGGTCTATGCTTGAAGGGCTGTTGTAAAGAAGTGAACATTCCATGAGAGAGGCAATTTAGGAAGCAATTGATTTTGATATTCTTTAAGGCAAGACAAAACACTAAGTGGGTTATTTTTCTTCTTAGAAAAAGGTATTGAATGATACCATTCATGTGTGAAATTTGAAAATACCTGCTAATAAGCCTTTTGATTTCTTACTCAATAGACATTGGAAAAAATAATTTCTACTTGCTCCTTCTTGGTTCAGTGTTTCATTAATGTAAAATAATTCATGTGACATTGATCCATCAATGCTATTCAATGTAAGATCAAAGGTCAAAGTTCAATTGGAAATTGTGCTAAGCAGTTTAGAACCATTTTGAAGAAGTGAATGAGCCTTATTTTAATGTGTAATTAGTGGATTTATCACAGTCCAGATGCTAATCTAGTTTCAAAAGTAAATAAACTATTCATTCAATACAAATAGTTGTATTTTAGCACTTTTCTACCATGTCCTAGTGAGGACAAAAAAACCTTTAATTTTAATTTCAGTTACTCATGAATATTACCAAAATGTTAACCTCTGAAGGATGCCTGCTGTTGGCATGCTAAGACCTAACATGGAGCTCTGACGATCTCCATGTCTGACAATTTCAGTTTTGATTGAAAAACCTGAAGGCAAGGCCTACAGTAAGGCCATTTCTGTATGTTTAGCTACAATGATAGTTTGTTTATATGGGTATAGGACTAAAATGTTTCCTCAGCAAAACTTGTATAAGAGATGTACGTACAGATCCTTATCAATTCGGAAATCAATCCAATTTAGAAAAATGTTGCCTTTGGTATAAATCTTTATATATACACACACATACACACATATACATATACACATACATACATACATATATGAACATAATTTATATATATTAGTTTAATATATATGCATACGTGCATATATAAAATAATATATGCATATATTTAGCAATATGGCATGTTTTATCTGAAATGCCAGAAGAGTAGTTTTCTGTTTCAATGAGATTTGAAAAAGAAATATGTATATATGAATGGTAAGTGGTCTTTCTTTCCTTCTACAACTTCTTTTCTATTCCTCCATACTCCCCAAAGGGGGTGCTAATCTGACCAGATTTTAGGACTTGGACTGGGTCATATTTACCAGAGGCATGCTGTGTTGAAAGAGAATGTGTCCTTGTTCAGCCTTACCTTCTCTTCCTATTGCCTTCAGACCAAGGACCCCTTGGGCCCTAACTATTCCTGCTCTTTTTCCTCTTTCAAAAACATTTAATTAATTATTTAATTTATTTTTTGAGACAGGGTCTCCCTCTGTCTCCCAGGCTGAGTGCAGTGGCTCAATCATGGCTCATTGTATCCTTGAACTCCCAGACTCAAGTTATCCTCCCACCTCAGCCTTCTTAGCAGCTGGGACTACTGGCATGTGCCACCACATCTGACTAATTTTTTTTTTAGAAGGAGTCTCGCCCTGTTGCCCAGGCTGGAGTGCAGTGGCCCAAACTCGGTTCACTGCAACCTCCACCTTCTGGATTCAAGTGATTCTCCTGTCTCAGCCTCCCGAGTAGCTGGGACTACAGGTGCATGCCACCATGCCTGGCTAATTTTTGTATTTTTAGTAGAGATGGGGTTTCACCGTGTTAGCCAGGATAGTCTCGATCTCCTGACCTTGTGATCTGCCCACCTCGGCCTCCCAAAGTGCTGGGATTACAGGCATGAGCCACCGTGCCCAGCCACCTGACTAATTTTTGTATTTTTTACAGAGATGAGTCCTTGCTTTGTTACCCAGGATGGTCTCGAACTCCTGGATTCAAGCGATCCTCCTGCCTTGACCTTCCAAAGTGCTGGGATTATAGGCATGAGCCACCACGCCTTGCCTGCAAAAACACTTAGGTGCTTGGGAATTCTTGCTGCTTCAGGCTGTGGTTGATGATAATATCGATATTTAATAGGGAGAGGGAAGCCCTGCTTTGGCTCAATGCCTAACCCAGGTACTTCAGCCCAGAATTATTATAGATCCCTGTGCTGGGAGCCCTCCCCACTCAGCTAACTAATAAGAGAGTGACAATTCAATTTTCCATGAACCTGGGATGAGAAGGATTGTGTTGGCCAAGGCAGGATTGATTTCCACCCTTGGAATATAATACCGTTGCGGCCTCACTTGTGCTTTCAGATGAGGAAATTAATATTGTGATTTTGTTAAAATAATATTCTAAGACTTTTTTTGTGAAAATATGTTTCTTTGCTTCTAGATTATCACCATAGCTTAAATTAAATATCTCAGATAGATAGTAAGTAGCATTAAATACTAAACCTTTATGGACTTAAGTACTGGAGCAGATGTATTCTGATTAATCCCTTGATTTTAAACAATTATTATTTTTTTAATCTTGATGTTGCAGATATCTGGGATACTGTGCCACAGGGATGGATTTTCATGGATGCTGTCTGCAGTATAGTTTCCTATGATTTTATTATTTGTATCAGTGGGTATTGTAAAAGGGTGAATAGTAACTTCCAATTCTGGCAATATAATGGAATAGTCAAAAAATTCTTCAACCATGAAATGCTGCAAAATGCTGGATAAACATAAAAAATACAATTTGAATTCATGGCTCAGATAGCAAAAATTTGAGGGGAAACTGAGAGCAAAAGCTTGAATTCAAAGAAGTAAATAGGCTGGGCGTGGTGGCTCATTCCTGTAATCTCAGCACTTCGGGAGGCTGAGGCTGGAGGATCACTTGAGGCTAGGAGTTTGAGATAAGCCTGGGCAACATGGCAAGACACTGTCTCTACAAAACAAATAATAAGTTAGCCTGGCCAACTTGGTGATGTGAGTCTGTGGTCCCAGTTACTCTGGCTAGAAGTTGAAGAGGGAGGACCATTTGAACCTGAGAGGTCAAGGCTGTTCTGAGCCGTGATTGCATCACTGCACTCAAGTCTGGGCGACAGTGAGAACCTGTCTCAAAAAAAAAACAAAACAAAAACCAAAAAAAAACAAAGGAAAGAGAAAGAAAGAAAGAAAAGAAAGGAAAGAAAAAGAAAGAAAGAAAGACAAGAAAGGAATGAAAAGAAAGAAAGAAAAGAAAGGAATGAAAAGAAAGAAAGAAGTAAAAAAGAAAAAAGAAAGAAAAAGTGATGTTGCTCTAAGGGCACTTGCTGATTCTGAATGGGCACTGGCTTTGATTTAGCAGGCAGCTGAAGCCAGAGGTAAATCGGGGGCTCAGGCCCTGCAGGCAGGTGCCTAGTCCTACTCTGCACCTTTTTCTTCTCCCTGTCTGTTTCTTCATAGGCAGGGTAATCATACACTGTTTCTAGAATATTAGCCTTCAAAATATTTTGAAGATTATTCATTTCACCTAAGTCTTTTTTTGTGTGGAAGAGGACAGTGGGGCTCATAAAACGTCAATGGCTTATTAATGGCAGAACCAGGACAATAATCCAGTTTTCTTTTTCTAAGTTCAGAGTCCATTCTGCTCCACTACCTTGTCTTTCTCTATTAGTGTTTTCATCCAAAAATGAAATGACGGACATGTGTATGTGAGTGTGCATGCAGGTGAGTCTTTTGGGACAGAGGCTCAAAGAGATGATATAGTACACATTTAACAGGTTTTGAGATCTAAGTTGATGTGAGAGACGGAGGAGGGCTTTAGGACCTTCCTGGGCTGCTGAGGCTGTTACTTACCTCTCTAATTCTCCCATGTCTATGGAAGATGCTCCTTCAGCTGATCTCTTGGAGCTACAGATTGGAGGAGTTGGTACTGCTCCTTTCGTCAGTATGCTTTTGGCAAATAGAGTTTTTGGCATTTATTTCGAGTTCTCTAACCATCATGAGATCACAGGGCCGAAGCACTGTGGTCTCCTCTTCCAGGACTATACTTTTAATTGTGAGGGCCTGCGTTAAATATGACAAGAGTCCTAGTGGTACACTAGCCATCACAGTGAGCCAAAGGGCTCCCCAATCTCAATTCCCTTCTGAAGTTTGGGTGCTCTGACGTGGGTCAAGCAGGGCTTGGAAGAGACATTGGGACTTTTGGGCAGGCTATAATTTAATGTCCTTTCCAACTGAGATCTAAAAAAGTAATTCAATATCTATTGAGTGGGGGGGGGATAAGAAAAAGCGGATTTTTCTATTTAAAAATGTATCAGTAGCAGACTCACACATTAATTTATTTCTACTGACCAAAGCAGAGTCAATATTGTTAAAATATTCAGTCAAATGTTTACTCTTTCTTTCTTTTTCTTTCCAGTTTTCTGTTGCAGTTTTCTGAATGGGACAACTTTTGGGGAAACATAGTAATAGATTCCAATTCAAAATAAATAGGCGGCCTGTTCCTGATAAGTAGTAGCATAATAACATGCAAATATTTACTTTGAAATTTTTACCTGAATGCTGACTATGAATAAACTGTGACTCTTTTTACAAAACTACCCAACAGAGATAGCTTGATCCAGGATGGTCTTCTTTTGTTTTTAATTTTAAATATGCATTTCAATTATTTTTCCTCATTTGTTGGTGGTGGCTACTTTTTGGGGGTAACCAGTGCAAAGTAATAGAAGAAGAAGAAAGTGATATGAGGAGAAAAGGGGCTTAAGAACTGTCTATAAAGGGTATTTTGAGGAGTGATTGGTCTAGAATATTCAAGGGCCCAGCCAGGTGGCTCATATCCAGGTGAGACCTGAGGTATGAGAAGATTTAAGAAACCAGGGGAGATCTATCAGGCAAATCACAAAGAATACCAGGATAGATTACATATATTTTTTTAGACACAAACTTCTTCCTGACAGTAAAATTTAAAAGAAATGGGTCCTTTTACAGGGAAAGTGAAGGTAATATTTTTAAAATACAATGAACAACATAAAGCTTTTATAATAGTATTGGAACAAATTCAGAAATTTCTTTTACATAGCCATTTATTGTATTACCCAGATAAAAATTGAGAGCATAGGATTAGGATGTAGTTGATTGAAAATGTTTCTTGTGGGGAACACATTTAGAGACTCCATGTGTGGAGCTCAACAGTAATGTAAGTGGTAATGAAGATAGTTATAGAGAAATGGATAAAAAATCCCTTAGATTCTTTTCCTTGAATATCACTGGCTTTGAACAGGAGCTGGATATTAAACAGTAAAAGTTCGTCTTTCTAGGGTGATTTTGGAGCACTAGTGTTCCTAGGTGACTGCTGTGGTTTAAATGTGTCTGCTCAAGTTTGTTGTTGGAAACTTAATTCCCCAATGCAATAGTGTTGAGAGGTGGGAACTTCATGAGGTGATTAGATCATGAGAGCTCTGCCCTCATGAATGGATTTTATGCCATTATCTCCAGAGTGGGTTAGTTATCAAGGGAGTGGGTTCCTGATAAAAGCGATTAATTTGGCCCCCTTTCTGTCTCATGCATTTTTCTTGCCCTTCTGCCATGGGATGACACAGCATGAAGGACCTCACCAGATGCTGGTGGCACACTCTTAAACTTACCACCCTCTAGAATTGTGAGCCAAATAAATTTATGTTCACTATAAATTACCCAGTCTGTGGTATCCTGTTTTAGCACAGAAAAAGGACTAAGACAGTGTGTATTGAAGAATATCCATTTATTTTGTAAACCAAATGATCAGATAGAGTACATTCCACTGAGAAATCTTCATTCTTACCTGGATGACTCCAGGTCTGCAAAACAATGTTCACAGAGGTGTTCTTTCCTTCTCAAGAAATAGCTTTCAATCTACTTGTAGGAACGCTTAATTTGTCCCAAAATATTATGCCAATGAATACAGCCCACATTATTTTAGGCTGTAAAACCGTAGGGTATTAAACTCCAGAAAATATTCTTATTGTACATTTATTTATTTATTTTTATTTTTATATATTTATTTATTTTTGAGACAAGGTCTCATTCTGTCACCCAGGCTGGAGTGCAGTGGCGTGATCTCGCCTCACTGCAACCTCTGCCCCCTGGGTTGAAGCGATTCTCGTGCCTCAGCCTCTCGAGTAGCTGGGATTACAGGTGTGTGCCACCATGCCCGGCTCATTTTTTTTTTTTGGTATTTTTATCCTAGCCACTAGACCACCAGGGAGGCACACCTTTTTGGCATTTTTAGTAGAGACAGGGTTTCACCATGTTGGCCAGGCTGTTCTGGAACTCCTGACCTCAAATGATTCTCCCACCTCAGCCTCCCAAAATGCTGGGATTACAGGCATGACCCACCATGCTCGGCCTTATTTATTTATTTAGAGACAGATTCTCCCTGTGTCACCCAGGTTGGAGTGCAGTGGTGCTATCTCAGCTCACTGCAACTTCCGCTTCCCAAGCTCAAGCGATCCTCCCACCTGTTTCCTGAGTAGCTGGGACTACAGGTACATGCCACCATGCCAGACTAAGTTTTGTATTTTTGTGGAGAAGGGGTTTTGCCTGTTGCCCAGGCCAGTCTTAAACTCCTGCACTCAAGCAATCGGCCTGCCTTGGCCTTCCAAAGTGCTGAGGCGTAAGCCAACATGCCCAGGCTTGTAGTACATTTATTTGACTTGCATGAATCACATTACCAAACTTGTATGTGACATATAAATATTTAAGAAGTTACTAATTTGGAATTTGGGATAATTTTTAAAAAGATAAGGCAAACTGTTATATGAAATTGTATAATCTAATAATATTAAAAGTGATGAATACTTTAAATATTAAGAAAATAAATGTCAATTACCTCAAAAGTTTATATACCTACATTTCATACCAATAATTGACATAACTTCCTCTTACCTCCTCCTTGAAAGTGAACCATGTACAAATCAAAAGTAAATGGCTAATATAAAAATTACACAGCGCTGGGTGCGGTGGCTCATGCCTGTAATCCCAGCACTTTGGGAGGCCAAGGTGGGCGGATCACAAGGTCAGGAGATCGAGAGCATCCTGGCTAACACGGTGAAACCCCATCTGTACTAAATATACAAAAAATTAGCCGGGCGTGGTGGCACGCACCTGTAGTCCCAGCTACTCGGGAGGCTGAGGCAGGAGAATAGCTTGAATCTGGGAGGTGGAGGTTGCAGTGAGCCGAGATTGTGCCACCGCACTACAGCCTGGGTGACAGAGTGAGACTCCATCCCCCGCAAACAAAAAAAAAATTACCCATTTGTCTTATCTTTTCATTAAACAGGTTCTCAGTAGACCTCTAGCAAGCAACATCTTGGATGGAGGTATTTTCTTAAACTAACGAATGTCAATACTTTGAAGTACAAAATTGATGTTTTGAAAAAATATGCAATTCAGAATTTTTACTTTTTCTCGTAGGTATTTTCTTGGTTAACTAAAATTCCTCTTACCAGTACTTTAGCTCTATCCTAGAAAAACTGTCTAAATTCTTAGAATAGCCTCCTAGCCAATCTCTCTGACTCCACTCTCCATCCCAATGTAATTTATTGCTCACAAAATTTTTCTTAGATTATTACTTCAAAATTTGTCTTGTTTTACAGCCTTATTGAAAAATGATGGAAGTACAATTAGCTACACATATTTAAAATGTGCAATTTGATGAGTTATAACATATGTGCACACCAACTAAACCATCATCACAGTAAAGATATCAACCTATCCATTACCTTCCAAAGATTCCTCATACCCTTTTGTCATCTCTCTTTTCTACCCTCTCCAATCTTTGCACCCCCCATGTCACTCTTACCTTCCAGGCAACCACTGATCTACTTTCTGTCTTCTGTCACTATAGATTAGTTTATATTCTCTAGATCTTATAAAAATGGAATCATATAGTATGTACTTTTTTTGGGTCCATATTCTTTCACTCAGCATAATTAATTTGAGATTAATTTATGTCATTGCCTGTATCAACAGGTCATTCCTTTTTATGGTTGAATAGTATTCAATTGTATGGATATGCCACCATTTGTTTATTCAGCCACCTGTTGATGAAGATTTGTGTTGTTTCCAATTTTTGGCTATTATAAATAAAGCTGCTATCAACATTCATGAGCATATATTTTCTTCCTTTCCTCTATTTTATTTTGTTCCCACTCCACCTCTAAACAAAGGGTATACAGCTAAAAAAACCCTTTGACCAGTAATTTATTCTGTTTTTGGAATTAACTAACTGATGGAAATGGACTGTTTAATTGGTATCGAGTAGACATAGGGACAAAAAGACTAAGCTGCTGAGCTCCAACGGCCAACTTTGTGAAATTCTTGAGCAACGTTCTTATCTGCAAACACAGAAAATTTATTTTCTGCCCTTTTTCACAGAATCTACCCATATCTTTCCTTTTTATAAATCTTTAACTTAATTAGTACATCCAAATGACCTCTGTGATGGCTTATTTTATGTGACAACTTGACTGCGCTAAGGGATAGCAGGTAAAACATTATTATTGGGTGTGTCTGTAAGGAGGTTCTGGAAGAGTTTAGCATTTGAGTTGGCAGACTAAAAAAAAGAAGATCATCCTCATCAATGCAGAGGGCATCATCCAATCCCTTGAGGGCCTAAATAGAACAAAAAGGTGGAGGAAGAGCGAATTTGCTCTTTGTTTGAGCTGGAACGTCCATCTTCTTCCCTCAGACATTGGCACTCTTGATTCTAGGACCTTTGGGCTCTAACTGGGACTTCCACCTTAGCTCCCCCTTGTCAGGCCTTCAGGCTTGAGCTGGAACTACACTATCTGCTTTCCTGGGCCTCCAGCTTGCAGGCAGCACTGCATGGGACTTCTCAGTCTCTACAATTGTGTGAGCCAATCCCTCATAACAAATCTCTTTCTATGTATCTCTAAATATTCTATTGGTTCAATTTCTCTGGAAAATGGTGACTAATACAATCTTTCATCAGGAAAAGCTTTTACATGCAAAGTATATATATTTTTTTAACTTAAAGAAATATGTTGGCCAGGCATGATGGCTCATGCCTGTAATCCCAACATTTTGGGAGGCCAAGGTGGGAGGATTGCTTGAGCCCAGAAACTCAAGACCAGCCCGGGCAACATGGCGAAACTCTCATTGTCATTACCAAAAACAAAAACAAAAAACCTCCCAAATTAGCCACGCATGGCACATATCTGTAGCCCCAGCTACTTGGGACTGAGGTGGGGGAATCACTTGAGCCCAGGAGGTTGAGGCTGCTGTGAGCCAATTTCACATCACTGCATTCCAGCCTGAGTGCCAGAGGGCCAGACCCTATCTTAAAAAAAAAATGCAATATATTGTTTGCGTTTTTAAATTTCATAGTCCTTCTAGCCAACTATTAGACATATTATTTTTACATATTTGTGAATCTGTTTTTTTTGGATAGCAAACAGTACAGAATTTCTAACATTGATTTTGCTAATGCATATTTAATAAATATCTTCAATCTCTTAAGTAATGTTAAACCTCAACCTTTGCTCGTATTTCACAGGGGAATAATGCTTTATGTATTATGCCTACTTAAAGAATGTCTGGCAAAATAGTTGAGCACATGTTTTTCAGCTAAGAGCAATTGCATTTGGGGCTTTTAAGATAGCTTTTGAATTCAAGTACTGTGTAATTAAATTAATAATTATAAAACCTACAAAATTTATATGTAAAATGAATTTAATTCTAAATTTTATTTGTGATTCTACAAAATTTGAATTGCCAAGAAGAAAAAAAATCAAGCCAACTGGCAAAATAGTCTATTTCAAAATATTTTTAAAATGTGATTTCTAATATTGTGCAAATATAAATGGAGAGAGGAGATAAACATTGATTCAGTCTATAGATCTATTCTGTCCTTCTATTCTCAGTTTAACTCTTTCCTCCTGAGGCTTTGTCTTAGCCTCTTCCTTTATTCTGCAAAACTCTCTACTCATTACTTTCACAGCATTTTCAATTTGCAATTACATATTTATTAATTTGTTGCTTTGTTTATTAGATAAAATCTCACCCTTGGGTTTGGGAGGTGAAATAGGCAAGATTTACCAATTAATCTAATTAACTGGCGTCGAGAGTGGATGGGGCCAAATTAGACATATGCATAAGAAAGAGCCTTTGGGATCAAATGGTGGACGAGATCAGGGCTCTTGACACAGTTGAGGTCCTTGACATTGTAGGTACTGCTGATTACTTGGAAGAAGGACTGTACAACTAATACACAAGCCTGTTCTTTTCTCTTGTTTTTCCCTCTTTTTTTGAAGGAATTTGGAAATAGAATAAATTTGATACCAAAGTTAATATGCTACTTTATCCTTTTTCTCAGTTAGGACTGCAACATCAGGCCTTTAACTGCAAAACAGCTGAATTCCTTGTGTCTGAGCAAACATCGTTATGTGAAATAGTTCAGCTTTAGGCACAGGCATAGATAGCAAGGCATGGGTAGGCAGCACTGATTGCCTATCCCAGATTGTTCCATTTTATTGTAGTTTAAATGAATCCCAGGCCAAAGGAACTTGGATTTTGATCTGTCCAAAACCTTCTGGAGTCACCTCACCTTTTCACCTCATATGTTTTCATATTGGCTCTGAACTGGAATACTATCTGGGTTGTGGATTTCAGGGACTCAGACAATGGATTTGATCATTGAGAGTTATTGGAATTTTATTAATGAAGAGAGAGAGAGAGAAATGGGGAGCCTTATTATAAAGAAAAGATATCATATTGTTGTGATAGAAAAAAAATCTCAAAGAAGTTTACAAACCATAGAGTTGAGGTGCAAATTTGAAAGATCTGTGCTGAAAATATTGTCTACAAGAGTCAAGTTTATTCAGAGGCAGTGGAGACAATGGTACACTTATAAAGAAATGACTTTAAGTCTTGCATCAAGAAAAAGTGGAAGATGACAGAAGAAAGGTACATTGATTGCAAAACAGTGAAGAAGAGAGCGACCATCTCATAAGAAGGATTGCAACCTTAGAGGGCAAGGTAATCACAGATGAAAGCTCCAACGACCAAGTTTGTGTGCATATAAAAATGTTCTTAATGTTAGAACTAAGCAAGGAGTTCTTGTTGTCTTTATATCAGTGAGTCTGGACTAGAGCTTAATGAGGTTTAACTAAAAAGGATGCAAGATTCTAGAGAATAAACTAGGAGGACTCCCTGCTGAGGGGGCTCAGATATAAGAAACTATTGAAAGGCACTCTTGAAAGCTATAGGGAGGGAGTCAATAATAAGAAAAACTGGGAGAGCTCACCCTTGATAATTGGGACAGCCTCTAGAGGTTATACAAGATTTGGAATATTTGATATTGGAAGCCTGGGAAAGTAAGCATAAACAACTTCAGTCATTAGTAAGGGAGTGTTAAAGTGTGGTTAGTACAGGTGGAGAGGCAGGTTCTCTCATGCCATAGCGGAAAATGATTGGGAAATTTATGGTGATAGGACTCTTGGAGAAAGATGCAATGATAAGTATTTAATGGGAGTCAGACAGCATTCCAAAACATTGAGTTCAGACATGGATTAGGAATGAGACTGATGGATGGTTTACTTCTATGTGGGAATTAGTCTGTTCAGGGAAGGGGAAGATTGGCAGGATTTGTTGTGGCAGATATGGAACCCATTCATCTCATCTCACTTTCTATAAGTAATTGAAACAGGCAGAATCTGGAAGTAGACATTAGGAAAAAAACAACAACTCCTGGGCCAGAAAGCAAAGATTACAGAGAAGAATGAAAGGAAGGCATTGGAACTTAGCAAATAATAATAGTTCTACACACACCAAGAAAAAATATGCCAACAGCTGGTTTAAAAAATCTCAAAGCATTTGAGTTTTTTTTCTCAAAGTTTAAAAGTCAGCTAGGTGTTCCTGAACTGACTTTGAGAACAACTGAAGAAAAAGGGACACAACATGGAAGTAAGAGAATTGGTAGAAGGCAATTAAAGGCATTGCAGCCATTGAGAGTGTGTGTGATATTCAGGGGTTGGAAGATTTGAAACTGGCAGGATTATCTCGCTGTCTTTACTGGATCCTAGAAGCCCAGGCGATGGGAGCAAAGATAGTCACATTGTTGGTTCAGAAATATGTTGGATGTTGTGATAGTTACCTGTGGCTGACATAACAAATGGCCACAAACTGGGTAGCTTAAAATAATAGAAATGTATTCTTCTTGATTCTGGAGGCTACAACTTAGCTTAATAACATCTGCAAAAACCTGTTCTCCAAATAAGGTAACACTCAGCAGTTCCTACATTAGGAAGTAGATATAACTTTTGGGGAGCTACCATTTAATTCACTATAGGCATGATTAGGATTCTGTTTCCTGAATCTAGGTGGTAGGCTTTTCTTCTTGTCACTGCTTTCTCTAGTGCAGTAAGGACATCTGATCAGAATCTGTATTCTAGAAGTAGATTCAGCTATTCTCCAATCTTTTTGTTTTGATTTCTTTATCCTTGACCCTTTATAAATCAGGTCAGCTTTTGTCCCTCTAAAGTGGTCATCTTGGATTTGGAGGAAGAGAGCAGGAAGCCTCAGACAAATGGGTCTCTCATTTGTCTGAACATTTTGTGAGAGGAGCACTGACTATAATTCAAGGATTTTGTAAGCTGGAAAGCCTTGGAACATAAAGATAGTGTCTCCCTCTGGAGCAGAGGAAATGTTTATTTGTTGTTTGGTATAATAAAGATGTCTTCCTCTGGGACAAAGTTTGGGCAGGTTTGCTTGCAGTTGTTGTGAAAGATTGGGGTCCTCTAAGCTTGAGTTTCCTCAGCTGTGACACAACCCACTGTGTGAGTAGCATCCACCTGGCTGATTTATGTTGCCCCATAGGACTTGGGGACAAGGGGAACCATGAAGCTCATGCTGTTTGCTATGCAGTGAAAGAGTAAATTCAGGATACAAGAGTCTTGTATCTTCTGCCAGAATCCATGAAACTGTAGCAGACAAACTTCTTAGCTTGCAGCTAGGGTAAAACCTCAGATCATTACGTTTTTAACAGTCTCTTTTAAGCCTCCTACCGTAAGCTGAATTCACTAACTTGGTTTTTATCAGAGAACCCAGGTATTGAGTGCTTATTCAATGAAGAAAATAGTTCTGGTTCTCATTTGACTATCACTGCTATGTGTTTGCTTTTTCTATCAGAACTCCAGGGAAGAAGGGGTTAGTGGCAGGGTTTTGGATAGGACATCTGCCATATGGAAGAGTGGGCAAAAAATTTACTGTAGCAGGTTTAAGGCTGAATAGGGAATCTGTGCAACATAAATAAAAGTGTGAGTAAGTGAAGACACATGTACCAGTGGGTTTATTGCAATATGGTTATAATAGTGAAAATCTGGAATCGGCATGAATGTCGATCAAGAGGGTTGAATAAAATATAGTACACTCATGCTATGGAATATTATGCAGCTATTAAAAAAGCAGGGAAATCTGTATATTTGGTCTCAGAAGATATCCTCAACACCCTCCTGAAATGAAAAAGAGAAGTTATAGTATAATAAACATGGCCTGTTCCTTTTAAGGACTCTGTATATTTATGTTTCTATTTATATACACAAAACAAGAACTTCAGGAAGATGTAGGGTAAGTCGTTATAGTTAGCATTTGTTACTTTTCTAGTCAAATTATTAAAATAGAAAAGTATAGGAGAAAAGCGTTAATAGGTTTTGCATGAGTGGAGGCTGTTACTTAGAGAGCTTGGCCATGGAAGGAAGGAAACGGGGGTGTGTACTTAGGGAATACAGAGTTCAGGGAAGTTGGTGATTTTAGTTTTTTAAAGATGGGAGAGAGAGTGTATTTATGGGGAAGTAGCCACTAGAAGAGAAACCCACTTTTCCATCTGTTCTATCCTTATCCTTTCACCCATCTTTCATCCCATCCCTCTTTGCATTCATCCTTCCTCCCTTCTTCCCATGGCAATTAAGAAGGGTGAAAGGTGTAGGGTATATAGCAATAATAAAAAAAAACACCAGGTGTCTGCTTTTGTGAAGTTGCATTTTAGGGGGAGACAGGAAATGAACAAGTTACAAAAAAACAACATAATTGCAGGTAGAGCCTAGGGTTGTGAAGTGACAATGAAGCACAGTGAGGAGCAGATGATGATAGCGGGGGTCATGTGGGGAGACTTGAGAAAGTCTCAGGGTGGCTGAGAAAGGCCTTTTTGAGGCCTTTTCGAGGAGCTAACATTTCAGCAGAGGCTGAATGACATGATTTTGTAAAATCTGCAAATTTGATGGAGGGTTCCTGGCAGAGGGTTCAGCAAGTGTAAGGCCTGAGAACAAGCTTGTCATGGAACGATGGTGCAGGGAATGTCGCAGAGGTAGGCAGGGGCCACTTTTGGAGTAGGGGAGTGCTAGGTTGTGCTATGGAGCTCCTTCCCCTGGGATGGAATGAAGTGAGGAGGGAAAACTTCGCTTTTTAACAGAGTGTAGTCAGCACTGCTTATTCATTCCATGGAAGTCTTTTGTTAACAGGTGATCAAGTTCTGGAAATGGGTTAAAAGTAATCCTGTTTCCACAGCACATTCTGTCTCCATGGTGACAAAGATTCTTTGCTGGGCCAAACTTTAGTTAGGCTTCTGAGCCTTCTCCTAGGCCTATCTGTGTGCTTCTGGTAAAATCTACTTTTAGCAAAGAACCCTGCTAAGTCAGTTTGGCAAAACCACTCCCCTCCCATCTAGACATCGGACTAGGTTTCTCATCCTCCACCATTGCCCAGGTAATCATCCCCCAGTTCCAATCACCCTGGACTGGCTTCAGCAAGAATCCTGCTAGGTTGGTTTAGCCAGAATTCCCTTAACCCCTGATGCTTTCTCTTAGTAATTTTCCATCCACTGACCCTCATGCTGTTCCTTAGCTGTAAATTCCCACTTGTACATGCTGTATTCTGAGTTGAGCCCAATCTCTCTTCCCAGCTACAAGAACCCATTGCAGTGGTCCCTATACCTATCGTGCTGGTCCTGAATAAAGTCTCCCTCACTATGCTTCAAGAAGTATCATTGAATATTTTTATCTTTAACAGTGATTAAAGTAAACATTCTGCCTTGGCAACTTTTGTTTTTCTTTTGCTCCATGTGTCTTGAAAGCAAACTGTATAAATAATATTGTGTCAATTTTATTTTGGTCATCTGATCAGAATTGTCTTTTTTCCCCATAGTGTAATTGATATGAAAAGCATGTACTGTAATTTAAATGCAAATATCTCCTTGGGTCCAGATACATTTCCCAAAGTTTGAAAGTGGAAATTGCTTCCCAAACAAAGCCAAAAGTGTATTTAGGATTAATATGCACATGTGGAGCTTATACAACTGTATCAGCATCATTGCTTTCAGCTTCATTAAAAATGGATTAATATTCCATGGTGTTTGAGGTTAGTTTCTATTGAAGGTCTGCATGCTTCACAGTGTTATGCACTCACCTTTGAAAAATCTTATTGTTTCTTTCTAAAAAATTGGGATTAAAAATTGGGATTTCTAGGTGGTCCTCACTAGAACAGTGCCGTAGAATGCATAGGGGCTTCCACAGGGCTCCTTGTAAACAGGGTTCTTGTTGAAAGGCGGGGTGCTTCACAGTGTGTCCAGCAGCCAGGAATGATACACAGCATGGGGGATGTGCGATACAATCCTTACATTCAAATATTGAGAGCATGAAGAATCATCTCAGCCAACGATATCTGTGGGAATGTTACAGATCTTCCAGGTGGCTGGCTGTTAGGATTTTTTTTTTTTTTCCTGAGGTGCTGGTGCTGTGGTTAGGTAGCTTTGAGAAGTATCTACTATTATCTATAACATTTTTTCAAGCATTCTTATTTGAAATGTTCTTGTAACAAAGCACCTGACTTATGATGAGACTTTACTTTAAGATGGGCTCTGGTTTTCATGCAATACTTTTCCAGATAAATAATCCCAAGTGCATTATCAATACAATGCCGTTAGGACTTATAACATTCCAGATGCTGCCACTGAAGATAACATTTGCAATTATCCTGCTTTTTGAGTAAGGCTTATATAAGACAAATTAATTATGCATTTTCTTTTCTTTCTTCTTCAAATGCAATCACACTCTTTTTACTACCTGATACCACCTGCTTTATAGCTCCAGGGGGGAAAAGTTAAATTCCATTTGAAGTAAGACTACAAAGCTTCATATTATCATGCAAAGGCCTCAGCTTCATAGCAGCCTATGCATAGGGTCTCTATGACACCTGGGGGTGTTCTAGGCAGACACAATGTTTACTAGAGTAAAACAGACATTTTGTAGAGTCTGGAGAGAACCCAGCCAAGAAGCTACGCTTTCCTTTCAACAACCCAGAATTCTACGACTTTTGCACTGAAGCAAAATAGAGACCAGAGAACCCACAAAATGGGAGTACTGAGTCCAGCTCAGCACACCCAGAGGCAGCATCTTGAAGTATCAGGAGGTGCAGCAGATGTTTTATAGATCCCTGCAGCAGAAAATATAGGACTACAGAACCACTTTGAACTTAAAGTATTGACTTTGAACAGATGCAGGTGCAGAGACAATGTTTATATATGAATTCTTATAGACAAGAATTCTTATATGAATTCTTATTCATAATAATTGCTGAGATATCTATACATAAAGAAGTGCTCATAGCATTGCAAATCATAGCCCACAGGAACAAAAGAGTATCAGTGGGAAATGCAGAATTGTAATGGTAAAGGAAATGAAACTTGGGACAAGAATGAAGCAGGAACACTTTCCTCAGCTATCTGGCTAAGAGTTGTACAAATTCCTGTTGTGTGGTTTGTTATATGTGTAAATGTGCTAAAGGGAACTCTTTAGTACACTACTGTATTGCATTCTTCCATAGTGTGTACTTAGACATTTTCAAAGTACCCCTTTGCTGTCTTCATAAAGTGTCAAGTTAATGAAACTTTTTTAGGTGTGTAAAGAATCTGAATTGGTTGGATTCAGGTTCAGGTGCTCAGAGTGGGTGTATATCTCTAGGTTAATTAGCTGAAAGTGAGTTCATTGAAATTAATTACTCAGAAATTGGTTTGCCAAAAGACGTTTCACCAAATGGTTAATTGGCAAGGAAGGCATGTCAAGGGTAGTATAAAAGAGGTTTTTGTTTTTTTTTTTTAATTTGTTTTCAATCCGGTCTATTCTCCATCTCTTAATTCACATGTTGTCAGCTACCTTAATCAGATTAATGCTTTGTATATGTTTCAGTATCTTAAAATTTCTCACTTGTCTGACATGGCAATAATGCACATAGCTGCTATTTCATAGGCCTCCACAGCTCCTGGCATGGGTGCCCAGGTGGTGGTGACATCACCGGTGCAGGGAAGCTGAGCAGAGAAGGTTGGTGGGGGAGATTCAGGAGTTTCATTCATGGGGTGATGAATTTGGGTTTGGGCAGAATCATGAAATTCATTTTGTCTTATCACTGTGTACGGCTTTTCATTTTATTTTGTGTTGAGGAAACACATAGATGTAATTTTCACAATCTTTTGTAATTTGATATAGCATTCCTTTTGTATAGATGGGAAGGAAATTACATTTTTCTCTTTTTTGGAACTCTTGAAATTTATCATTTTTATTTTCTCTTTTTTCTCACACGAAGATATATAAATCTTAATAAGGAGTAACCCAAATGTATATAACATTGCATTGTTATCTCCTTTTCTCTGAAATGTTGGTGTATATTCTCATTTCTTTCTGTTTGTATTTCACGTATTTATGTGGATGTGCTAAGTAAGGTAAAGTACTATACAAATGTGGCCTATAATTACCTTAGATGTTACTCACATTTAACAATTACCAGCCAATCAGATAATAACAAGCATTTACTGAATTCTTTCAAAGTTCAAAACATTTTATTAGGTACTTGGGGCTACATATAGAGGAATAGACATAGCCCAAGACCTCAAAAAACCCTTTGGAATTGAGAAGCACGATACACAAACTTGTAATCAAAATAAATTATTTTTTTGTCCAGTGACGCTTGAGATAATTTGAGGCTTGAGATAATTTAAGCTGTGAGTTATGGTCACCAGGTAAGTCATTTACATGGAACTCAATAGAGTTTGGGGAGCACTCTTTCTCCTTTTAACATTCAGAGAGAAATATTCAGTTGCAAAACAGCAGCTGGAGGCACACTGAAGTTGGATACCTATGGGGCAGTTTGGCTGGATTGGAATTAAAATTCTGTTAGACCCCAAGGATGATAATGGTAATGCAACTGAAGTTGCCGTACAGACACTGATCTTTAAATCCCATTTGCAGACAAATTTTGCTTGCAGCCACCAGATACAGGTATTAGAATGATTAAATATCTATTGCTAAAAATAAAGAGCCCAAAGACCATATTAAATTTGCTGTCTGTCCAGGTGATCAATGCAAAGCCTCCAAAATCATACAACAACATGAAACAATGGCCACTATTACCCTTATAAAAAGAGTCACATGCTCTGTGGATCACTTTGGAGGATCTTTAGGGGACCTCAAGCAAGTGTTTTCTAGTAAGTTATTTATTTATTTGAGTTGAGCATCCACTATGTGTCAGATACTGTGCTAGGTAGTGGGTTTTTAGGATGAATATGATGCACTCCTGCTGCTGAAAGGTTAAAGTCTTTGGGGGGACAATCACTAATGAAAATAAGTCAATGCAAGGTAAGCAGGACCATCACAGGGACATGGATGCAAGGATGTGGGACCATGGAAACTGGGGAAACTGCCTGGGAGACTTGGGAAGTCGATAAGGAAATGATTTTAAAAACACAAAGTTCTAATAATTTGCTTAACCAATTTTCTTTTGTTTCCACATTTGAGTTGTTTCTGAGGTCTGATATAAATATTTCAAGGAACATATTTATGCATATACCTTTTATGTATGCTTTAGATTATTTCCTTTGAATAATCTGCAGACATAAAAAAACCATGTTAAAAGGTTATGAAAAAAAACTAAGTATCTTGTACACATTTTCAAATTGTTTTTCAAAAGGGCTCTATCAATTATCACTCCCACTCAGTTATGTAGGAGAATACACATTTTAATAAATTCTTACCAACACTGGGTAGTATAAATTTCAAGCTTTGCCAATTAATAGGCAAAACCTTTAGTTCCATATTATTATTATTAATTAATTAATTTTTTATTTTTATTTTTGAGACAGAGTTTCTCTCTTGTTGCCCAGGCTGGAGTGCAATGGCACGATCTTGGCTCACCATGACCTCTGCCTCCCAGTTTCAAGCAATTCTCCTGACTCAGCCTCCTGAGTAGCTGGGATTACAGGCATGTGCTACCACACCCGGCTAATTTTGTATTTTCAGTAGAGATGGGGTTTCTCTATGTAGGTCAGGCTGGTCTCAAACTCCTGATCTCAGGTGATCCTCCAGCCTTGGCCTCCCAAAGTGCTGGGATTACAAGCATGAGCCACTGGGCCCAGCCTCAATATTATTTTTAAAGTGTTTCTTTAGAGTTTGGGTGCATAAGTATTTTTAATATCTTTATTAAAGTCTGATTTCATATAAAAAGCTCACCTAATTTATTTGTGCAGACTAGAAAATGTACATTTGAGAATGCATACAGTCATGTAACAACCAACACAGACTTAAAACATTCCTGTTACTCCCAAAAGTTTCTTTGTGTCCTTTTGAAGACAGCCTGCCCTTTGTGTCTGGTTCCACGAAACTACTCGTCTCTTTTCTGTCACTGTACTTTTGCCATTTCTAAAATTTCATATAAATGGAATCATATTATATATAGTCTTATGTGCCTGCTTCTTTCACTTAGCATACTGTTTTTGAGCCAATATTGTTTTATTGCAAATTTTTAAATTATTTTTGGAGTTAAATACTTTTTCACGTACTTTTCAATCAGTTGTTTGGAGGAGGTAATATTTGGTATTAAAGAAGGATCAAGAATTTCCCAAGTGAAACTGGGGGAGAGAATTAAAGATTGTAAAAACTATATCATATAAAAGCAAGGCTCATAAAAGGCTTGACAAATCCAGGGAATCGTAAAAAGTTCAGCCGCCAGGAGTTTGAGGATGTTTCTTGGGAGGATTGGAAGAGGAGTTTACACCAATGGGGATAGATTGTAAAGGGCCTTAAGATGATTCCCCCTTTTCCCCTATAGGCAGTTGGGATTTCACAGAACCTATAAGGAGGTCATTGACTTTTTTCCTTGGTTTGAATATCATTCTAGTGACAACAAAGGTAGAAATGAATAGGGAGAAACTTGAATCATACAGAACAAGTTGGAGGCTATGCAGAAGATGCATTATTTCAGGAACACTTAGGAAATGGAATCAGCAATTTGGAAATAAAATCAATGTATAAGGATAGGAAGAGAGATAAATTAGGAATGATATTGAATTATCTAGTTTGGCAGACTGGTTGCATAGTTAATTTATTAGTTGCGTCAAAAATATTGGATGCGACCACATGTAGGAGAAAAGATAACTAGTTCTATTTATACGTTGAGTTTGCAGAGTCTGCAGTAGTTGGCACTTTGAATTTTGAGTCTAAAGCTAGGACTACAATTGTGGGCTAGAGATATAAATTTGAGAGTCACTGGTTATTAGCAGGAAAATATATAGAATCGTGCAATCTGAGTAGAGTGAAAATAGAAGCAACAGAGGATAGAATCTTGGGCAACTTCATCACTGAAGAGCCTTACTGATTTAGTGCAACCTATTACTTGCTGAGAGGTCCTGATTTTGTGTTCCAAGACAGCCTCCCCCATATTACCCAAGGATAAATATGTAACAGTCTAAGCTCATCTTGATAGTTTCATTCCCCTTATCAGTGACTGTATTAGGGTAGGGCATTTGGCCCAGTTCTGGCCAATGACACATGAAAGGTAATAGGAAGGAATAGATCTTTGTCTGCTAGATATTGTTCTGTGTGGACTTGATGACTAGAACAGTAGCAGTTATCTTGTGATCATGAGGGAAGAGCAGAGACACAGCTGACAAGCAAAGCATGCCAAGCAGAAAGATGAGAAGAACCTGTGTGTTTTATGACGTCACTTGCATCAACCAGTTCTGGAGCTATCCAACCTAGGACCTGTTATGTGAGACAATTGATTTTCCTTTTTATTTAAGCCAGTTGAGTTGGAATTTATATTACATGACGTTGAAAGTTGATTTTCCTTTTTATTTAAGCCAATTCAGTTGGGATTCATATTATATGAGGTAGAAAACATCCAAAATGATACATCATTCTAGGTAATTACATATGTATCATGTCTGTAAAAATCTATACTGTTAATGTACAGTGCTCAAAACATATGGAAATATCTTGCAAGTAAGATTATATCATGAAACATCAGGGCCAGGGATAAATTAAGGCATATTATTGACATCTTTACTAAAATTACATATAGAAAGCTATTTTATCATTGCATTTTAACTTTAATGGCACCATCTACATGTATGAAATTAATTGCAATTCTTAATAGAAGAGGTGATTTCTGTGGATAGATTTTCATTATTAAGGAAAAGGAATGAAACCATTCACTGATGTATCATTTTAATTCTTATTTCGTTCCTCTGATGAGGTAGTCTCAAGAATGGGGAGTGGGTATCATCGCTTGAGTCAAATGTACTACCCTATAGGCACTTCATAGGCACTTCATTCCTGTTAGGTGAAATCAGAATCTCTTGGATGAACAGATAGCATCATTTTTCTTGAGGAAGACTCTAGATTGCGCACCCAGGACCTTCCTAAAGAAGTTTCCTAGGTGATTTGAAATAAAGAATGAAGTGCAGTGAAGAAGATTCTATTAACAGCACTTGCGATCTAAAATTAAGTGAGCAAAGCAGTTCTGTAAATCCTTGTTGAATAGACTAACGGAGGTGCACTTGATACTTCTATAAGTATGGCTGCTGTCACAAAGACTGAACTTTCTCAGCAAGCACAAAAGTTTCTGTAGATATGAGCCCCTGTCAATACATCTATGTCAATGTACTTTTACCAGGGACTTTCCTACTTTGTAGAAATCAAATCAGAGAGATATTAGGACATCAAAGAAGCTCACCACTCCAGATGGTTGATAAAGTCTGAATGCAGTCCTTTTCACCCTGTAGTGCCATTTTCTGCAACTAGCCCTAACTCAACAGCTGTACATGATCAAAGCAACAGAAGGGAATACTTGACATATTCATAAACAGAAAATATTTATGAATGCCCAGGGGCACAAGTGAGCATCTGAAAGTTAGTATGATATCAGATACCATGAGTGCAAGGCATTATATTGGACATTTTTATTCTTCTACGCACAGCATGTCTTTTAACTTACAGTAATTTAACCGATGATATGCTCCAAAGGTAATGAGTTTACTTACATTATGAACAGAGATGAGATGCCGATTTTTGACTGTGTACACACTCTCTGGACTGATCTTACTGATTGCTGTAGTTTAGATATGTGACCCTTCAAACTTCATGTTGAAATTTGATCCCCAATGTTGGAGGTGGGGCTTACTTGGAGGTGTTTGGATCATGGGGGCTTGATGCCATCCTCGCGGTAATGAGTGAATTCTTACTCCATTAGTTCTCCTGAGAATCCTTCCTCTCTCTGCCTCCCAGAGCTGGTTCTTTTAAGGAGCCTGGCATCTCCCTTCTCTCTATCTCTCTCGCTCCCTCTCTCTCTTTCTCTCTCACTGTCTCTCTAACCATGTGATCTGCACACACTGGCTCCACTTGCCTTCTGCTGTGAGTGGAAGATTCCTGAGGCCCTCATTAGAAGCAGATGTTTGCGCTCCTTATACAGTCTGTAGAACCACGAGCAAAATAAACCTATTTTCTTTATAAATTTTCCAGGCTTCGGTGTTTTTTTTAGCCACAAAAATGGGCTAAGACACTGGTGGTGGTATAACCACTTAGAAGCCACACTGCTCATCTTCTCTCTCATCTTCCTCTGTACTATTCAGATCACTTATGCCACTAGCTGCCAAATAAAGGGCTCTGAAGAAAGTCCTATATAGAAATCAGTTTTCTCAGACTTGCATGCAGAAGTGGCTAGACAATTTCTGCCCAAATGCAAAACATAACTTCAATGTATTAAAAATGATGATGATTATTAGTTCAGACTGGAGTTGATTTCTTGGACAGATTGGAATAAATACCCTTAGGAGGAAACTGGGACATAAAGAGCCTGGAGCAGATGGGGAGGAGCAAACCAGGCTCAGAGAAATGTGACAAAGTGAAGGTGACTGTGGGAAGGACATACACAGGAAAGAGCAGGAACTTCCCTTGGACTGGTTGCTAAAATCTCAGCATTGGCATCTCATTCTCTTACTACACTTTTTTCTGTCTTTCCAGCTCATTCCCTCTAGGACTCCAACTCCAACAATTCTTTTAAACAATTATAACATCTCCTCCCATCCATTGATTCTATGGTGTGCTGGTAAATGTTTAACAACCCGCATCCTGATAAAAATAAAAGCACCCAAATTTGGAACATTTGCTGATTTCTGTCATGTAAATACTCCTGCCATGGCCAATTTCAACTATTGACCTGAAGGCTTTGAAGACAGTGTTGGGTCGAGATATGGCTCTCCTGAGTAGGTGTGAGTCAGCTCCAGAACATTTCTGCAAATGAACCCATTACTTTTTCAGTGTCTCACCTCCCTTACCCACGCCCCTCACCCCCACACTCCTCCACTCCCAGCTTGGCCCTCATTGCCTTCCTTGCTTGGTTAAATTTACTGGGTCATCAACATAATCACGCCCTTGTATACCTCAATTCCGTGAAACATTGCATATTCTTCTTTATTGAACAAAGCTCATTGTGCTTCAGTTGTTTAAGTCTCTGCTTTCCCATTAGACAATAAATTTTGAAGAATGCATCTTTTAATTTTTGAGGTCTTATTGCTTACCATATTGCTGAGCTTATAGCAATTGCTCAATGTATATTTCATAAATGAATAAATGACTAAATTACAAAGACAACTTAGGAGGAAAATATGCTCAAAAATGAAAACCAGTCAGTAAAATAAAAAAAAAATTGGAGATAAAGAGAATATAAACATGGAGAAAGAGAGAGAGAGAGAAGGTTAGAAATCCTGACTGTACAAGAGATGAAAGGATGCTCACATAACTAATTGAAAATTTCTTTCTTTCTTTCTTTCTTTCTTTCTTTCTTTCTTTCTTTCTTTCTTTCTTTCTTTCTTGCTTTCTTTCTTGCTTTCTTTCCTTTTCTTTCTCTTCTTTCTTTCTCTCTCTTTTCTTTTTCTTTCTTTTTTTCTCCCCTTCCTTCCCTTTCTTCCTTCCTTCCTTCCTTCCTTCTCTCTCTCTCTTTCTCTTTCTTTCTTTCTTGAGAAGAGGTCTCACTATGTTGCCCAGGCTGGTCTCACACTACCTAGCTCAAGTGATCCTCCCACCTTAGTCTCCAAAGTGTTAGGATTACAGACACGAGCCACTGTGCCCAGCCTTGACTAACTGAAAAATTTCATGATATGGACTTGTAGGAGCACTAAGAACCTGAGAAAAAGGCACATTTATGTTGTTTGAGGTAGAAAATAGACTTTCAAGAAATGATAAAAATAGCAGTGAAACTTCCCATTTTTAATTTGCCCCCATATTATCTCTTGGTAATTCAGCATTTTTTTTAAGAGGCAGTGCTTTGCTCTGTCACCCAGGCTGGAGTGCAGTGGTGCTCACTGCAGCCTCTAAGTCCTGGGCTCAAACAATCCTTCAGCCTTAGCCTTCCAAGTAGCTGCGACTACAGACACATATTCCACCAAGCCCAGATAATTTTTTTTTTTTTTTTTGCAGAGATGGGGTCTGGCTATGTTGCTCACGCTAGACTTCAACTGATGGCCTCAAGTGATCCTCCTGTCTCAGCCTCCCATAGTGCTGTGATTACAAGTGTGAGCCACCACATCCTGGTCTAATTCAGCATTTTAAAAGGACTTTGTTGACCATGTCTCACGATGATTAAGTTTGCAGATGATATATAGAGAGAATGGATGGAATATTGGAGGATAGCATTCTAAAGGGATTTCAACAAGTTTGGAGAATGACTTGATCGAAATAACAAGATATTTAACATGACATTTGTGAAGTCCTAGACTTAGATAGCTAACTACACAAGGATAGAATAGCTTAAACAGCAGCATATGTGACAAACAAAAAAGGAAGATTAGTAAGCCTTCCAGTATGAACCAACGGTATAATCTGGATACGTAAAAAAGTCGTTGCAATGTGGAGTTACATTTGTAAGTGTTAGTCATGTCTGCTTGGCTATTTCTAGCTTATTGTATTCCATTATGGTTGTCACATTTTAAAAGGGATAGTGAGAGAAGCAACCAGCAGGATGAAGGGACTCAAGCATGTCATGAAAAGTTAAGCTGAAATAATGGCTTGGGGCACGAAAACATTTAGTGGACATATTGGGTCTCTTCGTTAATATCATAGACTCACATATTGAAGACCCATGACACTTATTCTTCCAGGAAGAAGCTTATAACAAAAGGGGTTTCAACTTAATGTAAAGGTTGATCTAATATTGAGCTGTGTGAAGATACACCTTCACTCAACTGCTCTGGAAGGCAGTAGATGTTCTTTGCTCTAAAGGGAGTTTAGAGGTTGGACAATCACTTAGTGGAGGTTCTGCAGAGGGACACCAAGCTCTGCGAGGGGGGTTTAACTAGAAATTCTAAATGAGACTCCCCATTACCCCTCCCAGCCTCTGGTAATCATCAGTCTACTCCCTCTCACACCCCGCTGCCTCCTGCTACCACTGAAAGTGTGCTCATGTCCCAGATGGATCCCCACTTCACGTTGGCCCTGTGAGGCATGTAGCACTCTTCTTATGGCATCTGGAAGTAATAAAAGACCTCTGTTGGCATTCAGGAAGATGGCTGAATAGGAAGAGTTCCAGTCAGCCCCTCTGGGACGAAGCTTCCAGAGGAAGGAGCAGGCAGCGATCCTTGCTGTTCTGCAGCATCTGCTGGTGACACCCAGGCAAACAGGGTCTGGAGTGGACCACCAACAAACTCCAGCAGATCTGCAAAAGAGGGGCCTGACTGTTAGAAGGAAAACTAACAACAGAAAGCAATAACATCAACATCAACAATAAAGACACCCACAGAAAAACCCCATCCAAAGGTCATCAGCATCAAAGATCAAAGGTAGATAAATCCACTAAAATGAGGAATAACCAGTGCAAAAATGCTGAAAATTCCAAAAACCAGAATGCCTCTTCTCCTCCAAAGGATCACAACTCCTCGCCAGCAAGGGAACAAAACTGGAGAATGAGTTTGACGAATTGACAGAAGTAGGCTTCAGAAGGTGGGTAATAACAAATTCCTCTGAGCTAAAGGAGCATGTTCTAACCGAATGCAGGGAAGCTAAGAACGTTGATAAAAGGTTACAGGAACTGCTAACTAGAATAACCAGTTTAGAGAAGAACATAAATGACCTGATGGAGCTGAAAAACACAGCACAAGACTTCGTGAGGCATACACAAGCATCAATAGCCAAATTGATCAAGCAGAAGAAAGGATATCAGAGACTGAAGATCAACTTAATGAAATAAACTGTGAAGACAAGATCAGAGAAAAAAGAATGAAAAGGAACAAACAAAGCCTCCAAGAAATACAGGACAATGTGAAAAAACTAAACCCATGATCGATTGGTGTACCTGAAAGTGACGGGGAGAATGGAACCAAGTTGGAAAACACACTTTAGGATATTATCCAGGAGAACTTCCCCAATCTAGCAAGACAGGCCAACATTCAAATTCAGGAGATACGGAGAACACCACTAAGATACTCCTCAAGAAGAGCAACCCCAAGACACGTAATCATCAGATTCACCAAGGTTGAAATGAAGAAAAAATGTTAAGGGCAGCCATAGAGAAAGGTCAGGTTACCCACAAAGGGAAGCCCATCAGACTAACAGTGGATCTCTCTGTAGAAACCCTACAAGCCAGAAGAGAGAGGGGGCCAATATTCAACATTCTTAAAGGAAAGAATTTTCAACCCAGAACTTCATATCCAGCCAAACTAAGCTTCGTAAGTGAAGGAGAAATAAAACCCTTTACAGACAAGCAAATGCTGAGGGATTTTTGTCAGTACGAGGACTGCCTTACAAGAGCTCCTGAAGGAAGCACTAAACAGGGAAAGGAAAAACTGGTACCAGCTGCTGCAAAAACACACCAAAATATAAAGACTGATGACACTATGAAGAAACTGCATCAATTAATGTGCAAAATAACCAGCTAGCATCATGATGACAGGATCAAATTCACACATAACAATATTAACCTTAAATGTAAATGGGCTAAATGCCCTAATTAAAAGACACAGACTGGCAAATTGGATAAAGTGTCAAGACCCATCGGTGTGCTGTATTCAGGAAACCCATCTCATGTGCAGAGACACAAATAGGCTCAAAATAAAGGGATGGAGAAGTATTCACTAAGAAAATAGAAAGTAAAAAAAAAAAAAAAACAAAGAAACAAACAAACAAATAACAACATAAACCAAAAACCAAACAAAACAAAAACAAAAAAGCGGGGTTGCAATCCTAGTCTCTGATAAAACAGACTTTAAACCAACAAAAATCAAAAAAGACAAAGAAGTATGTTACATAATAGTAAAGGAATCAATGCAACAAGCAGAGCTAATTATCCTAAATATGTATGCACCCAATACAAGAGCACCCAGATTCACAAAGGAAGTTCTTAGAGACCTGCAAAGAGACTTAGACTCCACACAATAATAGTGGGAGACTTTAACACCACATTGTCAGTATTAGACAGATCAACGAGACAGAAAATTAAAAAGGATATTCAGGACTTGAACTCAGTTCTGGACCAAGCAGACCTAAGAGACATCTACAGAACTCTCCACCCCAAATCAACAGAATATACATTCTTCTCAGCACCACATACCACTTATTCTAAAATTGACCACATAATTGGACGTAAAACACCCCTCAACAAATGCAAAAGAATGGAAATCATAACAGTCTCTCAGACCACAGTACAAACAAATTAGAACTCAGGATTAAGAAACTCACTGAAAACTGCATAACTACATGGAAACTGAACAACCTGCTCCTGAATGACTATTGGGTAAATAAGAAAATTAAGGCAGAAATAAAGATGTTCTTTGAAACCAATGAGAACAAAGACACAATGTACCAGAATCTCTGGGACACAGCTAAAGCAATGTGTAGAGGGAAATTTACAGCACTAAATGCCCACAGGAGAAAGTGGGAAAGATCTAAAATCAACATTCTAATATCACAATTAAAAGAACTAGAGAAGCAGGGGCAAACAAATTCAAAAGCTAGCAGAAGACAAGAAATAACTAAGATCAGAGCAGACCAGAAGGAGATAGAAACATGAAAAACCCTTCAAAAAATCAATGAATCCAGGAGCTGTTTTTTTTTCACAAGAATAACAAAATAGATAGACCACTAGCCTGAGTAATAAATAAGAAAAGAGAGAAGAATAAAATAGACACAATAAAAAATGATAAAGGGAATATCACCACTGATCCCACAGAAATGCAAACTACCATCAGAGAATACTACAAACACCTCTAAGCAAATGAACTAGAAAATCTAGAAGAAATGGACATATACCTGGACACATACACCCTCCCAAGACTAAACTAGGAAGAAATCGAATCCCTGAATAGACCAATAACAAGTTCTGAAATTGAGGCAGTAATTAATAGCCTACCAACCAAAAAAAGCCCAGGACCAGATGGATTCACGGCCGAATTCTACCAGAGGTACAAAGAGGAGTTGGTATCATTTCTTCTGAAACTATTCCAAACAATAGAAAAAGAGGGACTCATCCATAACTCATTTTATGAGGTCAGCATCATCCTGATACCAAAACCTGGCAGAGACACAACAAAAAAAGAAAATTTCAGGTCAATATCCCTGATGAACATCGATGCAAAAATCCTCAATAAAATACTGGCAAACCAAATCCAGTAGTACATCAAAAAGCTTATACACCACGATCAAGTCAGCTTCATCCCTGGGATGCAAAGCTGGTTCAAAGTACACAAATCAATACATGTAATCCATCTCATAAACAGAACCAATGACAAAAACCACATGATTATCTCAATAGACTCAGAAAGGCCTTCGATAAAATTCAACACCCCTTCATGCTAAAAACTCTCAATAAACTAGGTATTGATGGAATATAGCTCAAAATCCACAGCCCATATCAAAATCCACATCCATATCATACTGAAAGGCGAAAAGCTGGAAGCATTCCCTTTGAAAACTGGCACAAGACAAGGAGGCCCTCTCTCAACACTCTTATTCAATGTAGTATTGGAAGTTCTGGCCAAATAAATCAGACAAGAGAAAGAAATAAAGGATATTCAAATAGGAAGAGAGGAAGTCAAATTGTCTCTGTTTGCAGATGACATGATTATATATTTAGTAAAACCAATCATCTCAGCCCCAAATCTCCTTAAGCTGATAAGCAACTTCAGCAAAGTCTCAGGATACAAAATCATGTGCAAAAATCAGAAGCATTCCTATACAGCAATAATAGAGAGCCAAATCGTGGGTAAACTTTCATTTACAATTGATACAAAGAGAATAAAATACCTAGGAGTCCAACTTACAAGGGATGTGAAGGACCTCTTCAAGGAGAACTACAAACCACTGCTCAAGTAAATGAGAGGACACAAACAAATGGAAAAACATTCCATGCTCATGGATAGGAACAATCAATATTGTGAAAATGGCCATACTCTCCAAAGTAATTTACAGATTCAATGATATTCCCGTCAAGCTACTATTGAGTTTCTTCAGAGAATTAGAAAAAACTACTTTAAATTTCATATGGAACCAAAAAAGAGCCCACATAGCCAAGACAATCCTAAGCAAAAAGACAAAAGCTGGAGGCATCATGCAGCCTGACTTTAAACTATGCTACAAGGCTACAGTAACCAAAACACCATGGTACTGGTACCAAAACAGAGATATAGACCAATGGAACAGAACAGAGGCCTCAGAAATAACACCACACATCTACAACCATCTGATCTATGACAAACCTGACAAAAACAAGCAATGGGGAAAGGATTCCCTATTTAATAAATGGTGTTGGGAAAACTGGCTAGCCATATGCAGAAAACTGAAACTGGACCCCTTCCTTACACCTTATACAAAAATTAACTCAAAGATGGATTAAAGACTTAAACATAAGACCTAAAACCATAAAAACCCTAGAAGAAAACCTAGGCAATACCATTCAGGACTAGCATTCGATCTATTTTGTTAACTTTTTCAAAAAACCAGCTCCTGGATTCATTGATTTTTTGACAGGTTTTTCATGTCTCTATCTCCTTCCTTCCTTCTCTGATCTTAGTTGTTTCTTGTCTTCTGCTAGCTTTTGAATTTGTTTACTCTTGCTTCTCTAGTTCTTTTAATTGTGATGTTAGGGTGTTGATTTTAGATCTTTCCCACTTTCTCCTGCTGGCATTTAGTGCTATAAATTTCCCTCTACACACTGCTTTAGCTGTGTCCCAGAGATTCTGATACATTGTGTCTTTGTTCTCATTGGTTTCAAAGAACTTGTTTATTTCTGCCTTAATTTACTTATGTACCCAATAGTCGAGCAGGTTGTTCAGTTTCCATGTAGTTGTGAGATTTTGAGTAAGTTTCTTATTCCTGAGTTTTAATTTGCTTGCGCTGTGGTCTGAGAGACTGTTCATTATGATTTCCATTCTTTTGAAATGCGTTATCATTTCTAATAGTTTTTCAGTTGATTGCATTGGATTTTCTTAATATTATATCATTTGCAATAATGACAGTTTTGCCTTATCCTTTTGTTGTTTATAAATATAATTTATTTATTTAATGTTACTACATTGGCTAGAATCTTTAAAGTAATATTAAATGGTGATAGCAGGCACATTTTCCCTCTTGACTTCAATGATAATATTTCTAATATTTCATCAATAAGTATAAAGTATAATATACATATATGTATATAATTTAGCCAATCTCCTCATACTAATCATTTAGGTTGTTTCCAGTTATTTATTTACATAAATCATGAAGAAGAAATATTCATGCTCATCTCTTTATACGTATGTGCAAGTATTTTTGTAAAATAGATTCCAGGTTTCTGGGTCTAAGAATTTACACATTTCAGAATCTGATGGACACTGCCAATTGCTTGCTGTCACCATTCACATTGCTCTGGAGGTTCTAACAAATGTAATGAAATTTGAAAAGCAAGCAAGCAAACAAACATTTTTGTCAGTCATCTATTGCTGTATATAACAAACCACCTTGAAACCTAGTGGCCTACAACATCAATTCATCCTTTCTCACAATTGTGACAGTTGGATTGTTAGTTTTGCAGGTCTTGGGGAGAAAATGTGGTTGTGGAGAGGTGGCTCTGTATCAAAATTTATATGTCAAAAGTGAGATGTCTTAGTGCTTGTAGTATGCTTTTTTACAGGGAGGGAACATTCACTTTTCTATAACTGGGAGAAAGATGAGCTGACTGAAGCGTGAGATATTCTGTGCAGGTTTTTCTTTGAGCCTTTAGTAACATACTTTCTTTGTCCATAAACCACGATTCCAGGATGTGCCACACAAAATTCATCACTGATGCAGTCTGTGAACAAAATTATGTTCCCAAAGAGACTGGAGATAAAAACTTTAAGAAGCAGCTGATAGTGTTTTACTTTAAAAAATGCAAACCAAGCATGATCAGAATGATCAGAGTTGACATGTTCTGACTTTCTACCAGCACAAAGGGGAAATGCTACAACTATTAGCAAGGATTCATCTCCTCTTCCCCCCAAACTTTGCAGCTATTGGTTAGCATGTCTTGGTCAGGTCTGACAGTATAACTTCAACATTTTTTTCCCAGATGGCTTCTATAAGTTTGGGTTGAAGAAAGCTACCTCTTCAAATTCTGCTCAGCTAAAGTGAGAAAGTTAGCAAAGAAAGAAGAGGTCAATGCAACAATGAAGGATTGCCCATCCCCTCTTTTTGCTGTTCTATATCCTATGGTCCTTCAGATTTCAACTTGATATCAGCTATCTGCCATTAATTCATTATCTTACTTATTCAATATATATTTATCAGTTGTCTACTTTGTCTACAAGGAAACTGGGTTAAATACAGGGAATAAACAAAACAAAAGGCAAAAACAAATTTAATCCCTGGAGCTTACAGTTTAGTGGAGGATACAGAAAACTAATCACTCAAAAAAATTTTACTCAACTAAAATTATGAAGTAGAAGCCAGGAAAATCTTCTTTAAGGAAGCATCCCTTTGTTGAGTTCTGAAGGAAGCACAGAGGTTGGCTAGGCAGAGAGGGTTTCAGGCCTATGTACAAAGGGTTTGTGGGGTGAGGGATGGTGACACTAATGTAGGACCCATTCAAGACTGAAATGGAGAAATTGAAGAGGGCTGGCTGCAGTATGGAATGAAGCTGGAGAGGTAGGGATTGGGGCCTGAGTATGTGAGGTCTTATGTTAGTTTAAGCAGTGTTGTCTTTGTTTTAAAAGTAACAGAGTTATTCTTTCTCTTAGGCAAGGCTGGATGCTTTTGACCTTGTGTTGTAATTGCCTTTTAAATTATCCTTTATCCTTTTGCTTTCTCAAGAATGTATGTTCCATCTGGGCAGATTCTATGCCTTGTTTAATTTTGTAACTCCAGTATCTGGTACCCTGCCAGGCACAGAGTAATTGTTCAACAGTTTTGCTGAGTGAATGAATTATTATTAATAGCAAGACCTTCTTAGTGGGTGACCTGATGAGAGTTCTGCAGTCAGTGAGGATATAAAAGGCTGATGAATGTGACTCTCAAAGTAGGTCAGGCATTGTCTACCTGTCGGTGAATGAAGGGGCATGATAAGAAGGCTGGAGGTTAGCTAATGAATTAAGCAGAATATAAATATCAAAGTAAGGCTTTGGACAGCTCTAACACTTTGGATAAATGAAAGCATTTTCCTGGGAATTTTACCCTTCATGTAGACAAGAAGGCACTCTGCCAGGTTGTCTGCAGGGGCAAGAAATGGGATCTAAGGCTTGACAAGTCAGGTAGAGAGATCACCACTGCAGGGATGGAAAGGCAACCTTCCCCATGTTTTCCAGTATTTATGAAACGATTTGCCTTTGGTTTTGATATGATTGAGACAGACCCTCTCAACACCACTTGTGTGACTCTGCATCTTCACCTCTTATTTATCATCTGTAAAGATAAGCCTTGGCTCTTTGTATTACAGAGGTTATTATTATCAGTAGTAATAGTAGTAGCAACCATAGTAAGGTTGCAAGAAATTAAAATGTACTTACATAAACGACGGCTACATTTGATAACAAATGGGGACATTCTAGCCGTGAGACTTCCTTGATCAACTGGAGACTGACTCTCAGCAGGCCTCTTTAGTCCAGAAATTGCAGGTGAATTTTCCAGGGTGAGGAATTTTCCACGTTGGGGTTGTCATTCTTCCAGACAGCCAGGACAGTTGTGCCCAGACAGAGAACAATGAGGCTGAGGCAGCTTATAGGACTTTGTGGATGTAGCTAAGTCTCCTGCCAGAGGTGAGAGGTGGTGAGGTGTGCAGTGGGTGATATGCCAGCTTTTTAGGATTGTGAGCAGCCTGCAGATGGGCTTTCCCGGGCCACACCCGTCCCAATGGAGTTCTTGGTGGTGGCCCACTGCGCAAGTGGAAGTTACATAAAGTCACATTTTGAGGAGAAATGTAAGAGGAATTATATCAGATAGAATGCTCTGCCTAAAGGTAGCAGAAACCATAAGGCAAAGGAAGCTTAAACTCTCAGGAAATTGTTCATCTACATAACATGAAGTTCAGAGACAAGCCCCACATGCTGGCTGACCTGGCCTCTGGCTGTGTCTCATGGTAGTTCTTTCTGCTCTTTCTCCTCTTGTTTTGTCCTTAGAATGACTTTTCTTCAGATTGTAAGGTGCCTGTTGGTAGTAAGGCTCTCCAGTTCACATAGCAGGAAAGAGAGGAAATCATTGACCACCACTGAATAAAAATTCTTCTTGTCAGTCTAATTGGGCCAATTTAGTTTAAATGCCCACCTAAGACTACTAACAACTTCTACAACACACAATAAAGAGTGTACAACACCATATAGGGAGTTCTTTGTCCATTAGCAGTCCATGTACACTGAGATAAACAGCCCCAAAGAAGCGTTGCCACTACTCTTTCCATAATTATTTATTAGTCAAGATCTCACTCTGTAACAGGAAGAAATTTCTGAGCTCAAATTGGAGAATTCTATGGGAAGGGACTCCTAGACTAAATGAAACTTTAGGTGGTGAGGAACTTTAAGAATGTATTTGACCAAAAATAATAAAAATAGAAACAAAATTCTTAAAAATTGTCTACTATGTTGCTGATGCATTGGCTACAAGCTGAGACATTATTTATTTAGATTTGCTTGATATACCTAAACGTTGATTAAATTTCTAGCAAAGAGAAAAATACCCAAAAGTTATGCAAATGCTTCTTCTAAGCGTATTTGACATATTAAGCAAGGAATGAAATTCCACATATATAAATATTGAATGAGTAATTTTAATGTTTAAGGAAATGTTAGACTTTCTAGTTTAAGATGGCAGAGTAAAACTTGACCACAAAAATCTTCCTTTCAGCAAACTCAGCCACTGAAATAATACATAAGTACATCAACCCATCAACCAAGCAAACACACAAAAATGAAACCAGAAAAATCACCCCAATAACTAAGGTTTCCAGATTTAGCAAATAAAAATACAGAATGCCCAGTAAAATATGAATTTCAGACAAATGACAACTTTGGGGGTAAAATTATTTCCCAAATATTGCACGAGTGTCCTGTATTTTATCTGGCAACCTTACCAAATGGCAGGAAAAAGGAGGAACTGGCTGGTGGCTGTGAAAGAGTAAGATCAGAGTTTCTGAGAATTAGCAATCTTCCATGAAGTTTCCAACTCATCTTTCTCCAAACATTATAAGGAAAAAAAATGAACAAAATTCTAGAGCCTCACTAACACCCCTAGCTTGAAAACAGGCAGAAGGGAGTGTGTAGAAGCCCTTCTTCCACAAAGGAAGCAAAACGTTCCACAAAGGCAGAATTCCTTTCAATCATTTCCATGACCCACTAGAGAGACAATAGCCACTTGAGTTCACCATATTGGAGACCATACTGGCTGGACAGGAGAAGAATGTCAGGATCATAAACAATGGATTGAAAAATGAAATGATCTGAGGTCGAGATTAACTTTATTTCTTGGTGTGAGGGATGGGGCGGGGGTGAGGGTGGGAGTGAGTGGGTAGACGGGGACATAGATGAAGAAAGAACAGCCGTGTGTTTATTAGTAATTACTAAAGTCAGGTGATAGGTACATGGGGTTATTTATACTAGTTTCTCTATCTTTGAATGTGTTAATTTTTTATTATAAAAAATTTAAAATTTAGCCAAATAGAGACCAAATAAATATAAGTTATAACTCGGTTTCTGAGGATGTAGGAGATGGGGAAAAGACTCCCTGAGAGTCAAGTAAAATGTTTCTACCTTGGAAACACATTTCATGTTCTATATTATGCACTTTCTGCTTTGGGGAGTCACAGCAGCTCCTGGACGGGGAGAGATGAAGTGGGAATGGCTGACTCCCTGGTTCAGGCCTCATAGTGCATTTGGGTAAACATCTGAAGTCCAAGTACATCTGAAGATACAGTAAAACAGAATGGTGGAATTGTGGACACAGATGTTAGGCCAGGCAACAGAGGAGAGGGTAAAGGCCAGCATGGCAATAGAGCTGCCAACAGCCGTGATTCTTTTCCCTTATCCAAGTTCTCAGCTTTAGGATCTCCAACTCTACAATAGTTACAGGACAAAACACACAGATATCAGAAAAGTGGAAAGGAATCACAAGGAATTACCTACACTAAATCCAAGCTGTCTTCCCTATTCAAAAGCAAGATGATAAAATATCATGCCTGGCTTCTATGCAAATATACTGCAGAACAGCCCCTTTATCCCCCTCACCAAGTAAGTATTGAAATATCAAATGCAAAACACAGATGAAAAGTCTATCCAGAAGTGAACACTCAGGAACAAATGTTCCTAAGGATGTTTTACTCTATGGAAGAGCTTACTAAATACAAACATGTTATTGAACAATAATTTAAAGATGAGATACTAAAACAGCAGTTGTGAGAAAAAAAGAGATTTGCTGAGCTAAGGAAACAGATCAAGTACTAACAATTTAATACCATTGCTGAATTAATAAATAAAATGAAGTAAAAGAGCAAGAAACTGAACAGGCATAGCTAAAAATTGGATGAATGACCCAGAAGAAAGGTTTAAGACAATTGCAGTGAATGTAGAGGGAAAAAGACAAAGAGATTAAGACACTGATTGAGAAAATAATAGATATGAGTGGTAGACAAGGCCAAACAAACATTGAATTAAAAACCCCAACAAATCTAACAGACAGTATGTTCAAAGATGACATAGAAGATAATTTGAACAATTGAATAATTTAATCTGGAAATGCAAACCTATGCTTGGAAAAATGGATTGAGGAAAATCAATAAGGAGACATATCCTTATTAAGGTATTGAATTTCAAGGATAAATAAAGCATTTTCAGGCATTTAGACAAATTAAGCAACTTATGAAGGTGAAAATCAGTTGAGTTTTTCTCAAGAATAGGACACCCAATAAATGAAGAATGTTAAAAGGATTGCTCACATATGTTGAATTCATTTAAATGTAGGCTAAACAATGGTGAGAGATACAATTGCAAAAGTTAAATATTGTGAAAATTAATAAGCAAAAGTAAAAACTTTAAAAAAGACAACATACACCCAATGAGAGGAAGATGAAAAGTGACTATGCTAATTTCTTGGTCTTAGATGAGTTCAGTAGATACTACCTACAAAAAAAAGTTTAGCATTTTACTTAATGTCATCAAGGTATTCACTGGAAGAATGAAAATGACAATTAGCCAAAGCAGGAGATAGACATGGGAAGGAAATACCCCATTAAGAGGAATAATTTATAGTAGGGAGTCAACAGAAACTTTATAATGTTATATAATAAGAAATAGAAGTATAGGCATAAAATTGAAAATCTCCTGAAAGAGCTAAGATAGACTATAGCACATAACCTCAAGACAGGAATCACACAGACAAACCTTTAGTGATGTTGGTTTTGTATCACATGTTCAAGTGGGAGCACGTGATGACAGGATGAGCCCTCTTCTGTCAAGTTCCTCATCAGCTTTTATCTAAAAGAGTTCCATTCATTGAAGATCGTCACCTTTTTGGGTTTAGTAGGAGTTGCAAAATGGAGATGTTTTAACCTTATCATTCCTTTCACTTAGGTGGAATTCTTCTGTATAAAAACAACGCCTCTCATGAAATAGGGCTATTTTTACAATGAAGTATGGTTTATTCATCAAAGGCAGAATATATTTTTAACTGTTTTCTTTTAGTTGCCAAATTTCAGATTAAGGTGTTTGTGGGCTAGTTACTTTAATATATGGTAAAAATGTTGTTTCCTTCTTTCCCTCCCTTTATTGTTTCTGTTGGTAGGCTTTCTCTTTTTCCATTAGATGCATATGAATTCATGGATTTAAAATGGAATTAGATTTTAAATTGAATTCATGAATTTTAAATTACATTTAATTGAATCAATTTGTTTTGATATTGATTTGAACAAATCGATGATACAAAATATTTGGAGACATCCAGGGAAATATGATTATTGACTAGGCATTAGATAATAACACATAATTGTTATTGAATTGTTAGCTGTAATAATGATATTGTGTTTATAAAAGAAGTGTCTATTTTTAAGAGAGATTCATACTAAAGATTGAAGGCATATATGATACTTGGGATTTGTCTTAATTATTCAAGGAAGAAAAAAGAGGAGATAGAGAAGCAAATGTGACAAAATTCTGACAATTTAAAAATATGACAGAAGGCTAAGTGAGGGTTTTATTGTACCATTCTCGCTGCTTTTGTGTATACTGGGACATTTTCATAATACAATTATTTTAGAAGCTTAGATTTAAAAAGGAATGATGAAATATATATTATTAATAAAGAAATATCATTATGCTATATTAAAAAGGAAAAAAGCAAGATAAACAATGTAGTAAATTTGTGTGTGTGTTTGGGATATGCCCAACAAGAAATAAGCTTAAACATATCCGTCATTCTCAATTGTGGCAGGTGGCCTGAAGTCCAGACATCCAGCAGATGGCGCTCTGTGCCCGTTTTATGTGGCGGAGAGACTCGCGCCCGTCATTCCGCTTCCCGTGTTGATGCAAATCCTGAGCATTCTACTGTGTTAAAATCAACACTTCATGTTCTCATAATTAGCATTCTGCTTTTAGAAATGACCCTACCGTCCTTTGTTTTTTCTTAACAAAGCAAAGCTGCGAAAGTTTATTAAGCACAGTATTACACTCTTGGATGGGGAGAGCAGACAGACCTCTCTGGGAGATGAGATCAGCCCCTACTCTCCTCTTGGATTTGGATTTTGTCTTCCTTCCTGGCTCAGTTTGAGCTTGAATTCTGCAATGTGCTTCACATGACGTGGGGGATGAGTGATACCGTGAGAGAACACTGGGCTGGGAGCTGGTAGTTCTGTACTTGGGTGACTTTGGGCAGATGTTTGACCTCTTACAGCCTTGAATTCCTTGTTTGTAGACTAAGGTTGTGTACCAGATGATCACTAAGGTCCATTTCTTCAATCAAATTCTGTGATTCTGCTTCCAGTTTTCAGCCTACAGTTCTCTGGGGAGGGGACATAAAGGCACCACAGTAGTGTCTTCAATAAAGTCAAGTTGGAGAGAGGATAGTTGTCTCAGTCTGTTTTCTGTTGCTTATGACAGAATACCTGAAACTGTGTAATTTATAAAGAAAAGGAATTTATTTCTTGCAGATAAAGAGGCTGGGAAGTCCAAGGTTGAGGAGGCACATCTGGTGAGAACCTTCCAGCTGGTGGGAAGTTGCGGTGTCCTGAGGTGGCACAGGGTATCACATGGTGAGAGGGCTGAGCATGCTAACATGCTAGCTCACATCTGTCTTCTTCATCTTATAAAACCACCAGTTCCACTCCCATGATAACCCATTAATCCACCAACCCGTTAATAAGGGTAGAAGAGTCATGATCCAATCACCACTTAAAGGTCCCTACCTCTCAGTACTGCCACATTGGGGCTTAAGTTTCAACATGCGTTTTGGAGGGGATATTCCAGCTGTTGCACTATTGGACCAAATGACTGGATAACAGAGGAAGGGAACAATTAAGAGACAGGAAGGGGAAGCAACAATGAGAAGGAGAAGGTCAGCAAGCCTTGGAGATTAGACTCTGAATCTGAAGCAAATGCAGAGCTAGCTATGGCTTTTGACATGGTTTTGAATTCATTTCTTCCAAATCTCATGATGAAATGTGATTACCACTGTTGGAGGCAGGGCCTGGTGGGAGGTGATTGGATCATGTGGTGGATCCCTCAGGAATGGTTTAGCACCATCCCCTTGGTGATAAGTGAGCTCTTGCTCTGAGTTCACGCAGGATCTGGTTGTTTAAAAGTGTGTGGCACCTGCCCCCTTGCTCTCATGCTCCTGCTCTTGCCACGTGATGCACTGGCTCCCTTTGCCTTCCACCACGATTGTAAGTTCCCTTAGGCCCTCACTAGAAGCAGATGCTGGCACCATGCTTCCTGTACAGCCCACAGAACCATGAGCCAATTAAACCTTGTTTCTTTATAAATTACCCAGTTTTAGGTGTTTCTTTGTAGCAACACAAGAATGGCCTAATACAGCTTCATTTAGCAAATGGCAGAGGAGGGATTCAGGACCACTTTTGTCTCTAGGACCCCTGACCTTAGCTTCAGGCACAAAGTCCTTCACCTCCATGGAAGGTGGATTGTAAAGTAACCTAATGCAGTGCAGGCAGCAGTGTGACACTGCTCTTGCTTCTAGCTGCCAACAGCTCTGTGTTCATCAGCAGCCCCAGCAGCCGAGAGTCACTTTCTCCTCTGGTTCTGTCTTCTATCAGACCCTCATCCAACATCTATGTCCCTCTCATTTACCTCTCGTTTACAGACTAGCTCATGTTTAACTCTCCACTACTGTTGAATTTTGCTCCTGTCTTTCATCTTCTCTCATTTGTACAATGGTTGGAAAGGAATACCGTAACAGATCAAACTGATATTCACCAGTTAAGGGATGGGATGGGAGGTTTAGAGCAAAGTGAAAGGATCATGTGGGATGTCAGTACAGTGTCATGAGAGCCGCGTGACCATATATGTATCAGGCATCCAGCAGAAATTTAGGTGGCATCTCAAAAGATTTGAAAACTTGTCTATTCATGTTTCACTTACCAGATCAGATTCTATTTTCTCTGTAAAGCCTCCTACTCCCTCTGAAGTTTAAAAATGCTTATCTGAAAAATATCCTTGATAACTGTTTTTTTTAGCATTGTTTATTATATTTTCATGTTCATGTCTCATGCCATCATGTGCTCTAGTACTCCTTGGGGATGGGAACTGCCTTGTTTATATCTACTGCATCATTTAGCAGTCTTTGAACACAATAGTGCACTTCACTTTCAAGCATAAAAACCAACTTAACTTGGATTTACTTGCCCCTACATTTATTTTAGCTTGCTTTCCAGACTGTGAAAGTCACATTAAATTCCTGATTACTCTAGGATTGATCTTGCAGTTTGAATATTTAAGTCCTCGGCACTTTTCTCTCTAATTTTTATTCTTTTGCCTTCCGACTATTTTGCATCTTTCCCTCATTTTCTTCACATGATGGAACTGGAAGTAAAAGGAGATGAAACCAATTTATTTTTATGTTGCTACTTGTAACTGGTAGAGTTTGTAGGGTTGAAGTCGAGGGGAAGGTTGGAGAAAGAGTGGCAGCTGCTGAAAATGAAGTTTCCAAATAATGGAAAGTTTGCTATTCATGTTCTTTTATGTGCTGGTTGAATAAGTTAGGATTTTAAAAATAGAGTTGGCATTTATGATTCTATTATTTCTCATTATACATCAGGTTGTATCTGTGTGTAAATGCAAAAGGTGTTGTGCTTTCACTGCCGTTCTTCACTGAAAGAAGGGGCCAACCCGAGCCATATCTCAGAATGAGAATTAGCCTTATGGAGCACCTAGCATCTCATGGGGTGTACAGAGGGCTCTGCACTCTTCAGAATGGGTCAGGAGGCTGGATGGAAAAGGAGGCAGTTGGCTAGAAGTAATTCGTGTGTTATTAGATTATGGCTTTTGTGTTTTGAATCTGTGCTGCAAGTTATCTTGAAAAGGTTTCCCCCAAGTAGCAGTCAGAGGCCAGGAAAGATACCTCTGGATTTCACTACTGGTGGAGTCATAGACACTGGCCACTCCAGCTGGGGTGCCAGATCACAGAATGCTGGAACAATTACTTTCTTTCTTATTTTCTTTTCCACTCAACAAATAATTTGCATGACTATGAAACCCAAGAATCAGGCCCTCTAGATATTGGGAAAAGGATGCCTCATGCCTATTCCTAAGTTAGTTCTTTAAACTTGAAAATACTGTCTACTCAAGGCCGTGTCCGGAGCTGACTTTACTGATGGTTTTGGAGTCACAGAGGCAGTTACACCAATGAAAAACATGTCAGAGCATATGACCATAGAGAAGTTAATTTTGAATGTGAGCATGAAATACACCGTCCTTTGCTTACTCATTTTCTGTTATTAGTAGCCTTTCTCTGTAGATTCCTCCTTGCTACCACGTTACTCTTCCCCCATCTCCCTCCCCCTTTCTTTGAAATCCCTCCTTCCAGTTTAGTGTTGGGACCTGGGAATTCCAAACGTCTTCTTCATTATGCAGAGGAATTTCATTCTTGTTTCCAACTTTTCAGAAGCTCATATTTCTCTAAGCAAATGGTGTGATGAAGTGCTTTGTTAACTAAAATGCCATCTTCTCCAGAGAAAAATCTAAGGAGGTAGACAGTTTTACTTAGTTGCAGGCATGTGCATGTATGTGTCTGCTGTATTTGCTATAGATAAAGTCTTATGACAGATATTTTAGGATAACATTTTCCAAATTTTTTTGAAAGACATATGAAAACCAGAGTAAGAAATATATTTGACTTCTCAACCCGTGAAATATATAAATGAATATTCATGTACATTTACATTCACATATATGCATACACACATATTTTATACAAAATGATACCTTTATTAAAAGGACTATGTTTGATATTCTATTTCATTTATTTAAAAAATACTAGTCCTGACACTTTAACTTGATTTCATGACTCCTCATGAGCTTCAAACCTGAAGTTTATTATTTGATGTGAGTAAAATTCCATATCTTGCTTTTAGAAACTAATCCTAAAAAGCTAATACAGCCTTAACCTTACTGGCTCTACCCATACTGGCTTGATAAAAAAACTAAATCAGTATTTGAAAACTTCAGTGGGAACTTTCATTCTGAAACTTCTCCAAGAGGTTTTTAAAAACATCATTTTGGTTTTGTTTTTGTTTTTGTTTTTTTTTGGATAGAGTCTTGCTCTATTGCCCAGGCTGGAGTGCAGCAGCATGATCTCGGCTCACTGCAACCTCTGTCTCCTGGGTTCAAGCTATTCTCCTGCCTCAGCCTCCCGAGTCACTGGGATTACAGCTCTGTGCCACCACCCCAGGCTAATTTTTTTGTATTTTTAGTAGAGATGGGATTTCATCATTTTGGCCAGGCTGGTCTTGAACTCCTGACCTCAAGTTATCCACCTGCCTGGGCCTCCCAAAGTGCTGGGATTACAGCCATGAACCACCACGCCTGGCCAAAAAATGCACACTTTAGTAGAATATGGCAGAAAATTTGGAAAGTAGAGTCAATAGAAACACAATCTGCAGCTAACTCCCATCATGTACCCTGTTAACATATCATGATATTTCACTGCAGCATATTTGCTATGCATCCAGACTAACTTCTTATTGCAAACCCTCTTCTTCTTCTTTTTTTTAAAATTGAAAACCCCTATTGTTTTTCCTCACATGTCAAGGAAGACTGAGAACCTACATATAGGGTTCTAGCCTATATGTAGCCTCCCATGTATGCAGGGGGCACACTTGCACACGTATACACACACACACACACACACACACTCTCTCTCTCTCTCTCTCTCTCTCTCCCCCTGTCTCACAGAACGGAGGAAAAACTTCACTGCCTGACTTTAATATTAAATCTCACTTTTCTCACATTTTCTATGTTTTCACACCTACAGTCTGGCTAATCTATTTTCTAGGCAATTCTTAGCAGAAAAAAATGTGAAAGTGATAACTAGATTGTAATGTGTGAAAAAGCTCTCAGTACAGATCTGAATATATTTGGGAGGAATAAGAATATCCTAGATTTTCAGAAAATTAAAGATGCCATTTAAATAATAACTTTCCCATACTGGCCTTTGAGACTATCTTCCCTGACTGTTACAGTGGCTCAACCATAAAGTGGGAGAAAATACTAATGTTATTTTTGAGGATTGCATAAGTTAGAATTAGTGGAGTTTTCCTGGGCTCCTCCTGTAACTTGGGAACTAAATTGGAGTTGCTCTAGGATCATGTAATGCTAGTAATGTGTCTGGCTTTTCTTTATAATCAACAGAACCACCCACTAATGACCTATGCTCCCTTTTTACAGAATATTTTCCACTCTTCATTTAGCTGATATAAGTTCTTCATAACTTGGGGCATTTATTTGTTAGCTTTTTATACTTAACAGGGGACTGGAATTTCATTTCTGAAGAGTAATATTTGCTGCTTTGAGCTCTTGAGGAAAAAATAAAAGGGGTTAATGATTTCAGGACATATATGTTTGAGTTAAGATAGAAAGTTGTAATCACAAGCTGATATAAAAGGGATAATTTTGCAAATATTAAAATCATTAATATAAATCTCCTACATAAAGTATCTTTTTCTTACTCCTTTCCATTTTTAGGCTAAGCCACTAAGCTAATGCTGCCTTGGCAAGAGAGAATAGTACAATACATGAGAAAGCTAGATGTAGAGAGAGGGGCAGAGAGAGAGAGAGAGAGAAAGAAAGAGAGAGAGGAAAAATAAAATATATTTAAGTTTCTATCTCCCTCTTTAAGATATCCAGAGCCAGGCTTGGTGAACTTGAACATAGAGTTATTTAGGACAGTAGTGGAAGAGAAAGTAGGAAGAGAAGGGCTTCCCCTCCTGGCCCTCAGGGATGGTGAGAAGGAGACATAGAAAGAAGATAAAACAATGAAGACAGCTCCTTGCTCCAGGCTTTGACCCAAAGCACAAATGATGTTTTTAAAAAACTGAGGAGTACTGAAGTTAGAGGGGATATACTCACCTTGTTTGGATCTCATGAAGGGTGCCTGGCAAGAACTACTGGCAGCTTCACAGAGTGGTGGGGTCAGAGTATCTGAGTCTGGCTCCTGAGCCTCTCTAGATTCTGGTATGGCATAGAGATTGATTGAGAGTCAGAAAGCCTGCCTTGGGCAACTCCACAGACTTGTAGGGTCAAGGTGATCCCATGACAGAAGCTGAGGGTAGAGCACCCAAACCTAGGGGACAACATGAAGGATGCATGAGAGATTTAGAATGGGGTTGTAGCCACTGAAAGCTGAGAGGAAGGAAGCTGAGTGTTTTAAAATGCAGTGTGCTAATAGAACATTTAAGGTATAGTAAGGCCAACAGATCAGGAGACAGTTGTCATTGAAAAGACAGTTTATGAAGTTCCCAAGAGAAGTGTGCATGCTGTACTTCTAGTAGGGGCACATTGGTGAGCAACGGGCTTGGTCAGGAGGGAAGGGAGAGAGGAACTGGGGGAATTGTGGTTTCTGGGAAGGAACAAGCAAGGCAGGGTAAGCAGGCTTAGGACTGGCTGGTTTGAATAATTTAGTCAGGCTCTGGAGCATAGAAGCTGTCCCTAGTTGTCTGGTATCTGGCCCTGGGATGATTAGGTAAGTTTTGTGGTGTCTCAGAGTACAAGAACCTGATAAAGGAGGTGGTTGCTGGTGTGGACTCTGGCTTGATCATTTTTTATTTGAATTCTCACCTCCCTCCCACTCTGCCCACCGTGGGAGGAAGATTCCTTCTCCCTAGGTGGGGAGGCTGCAATGAGGGAAGTGGGAGGCCAAGGCGGGGAGATTCAGTCATATTATCAGGGTGTCCAGAACAAGGTGTGTCTGCAATATGCATACAGGACAGATGTCAATACATCAAGTTTACAGAAGCTAGAGAGGTGCTTAATACACTGAGTCAGCAGTAATATTCCACCAGGTCCTGGCCAAGTCAAGGAAGAACAGTCCGCAAATTTACGGCTGCAAATACCAGCAGTGGATACCAGTAGAATGCTCATGGATGGACCAGTCAACACATCCAATATGTATGCCAGGCCAGCCTGGAACCTGCAAGGGCCTGGGGGTCAACAAGAGGGTGAGGTCATTCATTTACTCATTCACCTAACAGCTACAGTGAACCCAGATACCAACTTGGCATGTGTAAACAAGGGGAAGGGAAGAATGAAAATAGACCAAGCACCAAATGGTGCTTTTACCCTAAAGACAAATGGTACCTAATAAGGGATTGTTTTATTTATTAGATTAGATGATATGTCAAATGGGATTACAGTGTAATCTAGTGGTCCCCAAACTTTTTGGCAACAGGGACCAGTTTTGTGGAAGACAAGTTTTCCAAGGTCAGAGAGCTGGGGGGCGGTGAGTTGCAGCAGTGGAAGGGATGGTTTCCAGATGAAACTGTTGCACCTCAGATCATCAGGCATTAGTTAGATTCTTAAAAGGAACATGCAACCTAGGTCCCTCACATGTGCAGTTCACAATAGGGTTCGTGCTTCTATGAGAATCTAATTCCGCTGCTGATCTGACAGGAGGTGGAGCTCAGGTGGTAATGCTCGCTTGCCTACCACTCACCTCCTGCTAGGCCACCTAGTTCCTAACAGGTCATGGACTGGTACTGGGTTGGGAACTCCTGGATTAGACCATTCCCTAGCACATGGGAGATTATGAAAGAGATCATATCAGTTAGAAACAACATGCACTATATTTTTGCTGAATAGTGGAGCTTATTGTGAGTGAATTTGCAAGATGATTACATTGATTACATCTCTTTCTCCCAACTCCTCATAATAGGAAGCTGGCTTGGATATTGTGTTGGAAGAGAGTTGGAACTAGAGGAAATGGAAATACGAGACTAGGAAAAGAGGCCTTTCTCTTTTCTTATTTAAAGGGTCCTTTTAGAGCTAGGCAGACAATAATCATACTTAGCTCCCATAATATTATGGGACTCATGATACCAATTAATTCTCCTAAGGCTTTATGAGCTTGACCCATACTTACTTTCTTTTAGATAACTGTAAGAACCCCCAAAAGCCCTAAATACTGAAAAGAGGTTTGGGTCATTCATTAAATTATTAACTATGCAGCCGCCTTCATTTTCATCTTCAGGAATCATTAACCACTTTATTATTAACGATGGCAAAAATGGAACTAATTTTGCACAGTGGGATACTGAGATTAACGCACTGTCTTACCTGCTTTTTAAATTATAGTACCTCCAACAAATACTGAATGCCTACTGTGGGCTAAGCATCATTCTAGATGAAGATACGAGGGCAAAGAAGACACAGACTTGCCCTCAAGGAGTTTATAGTATGGTGAAGAATACAAAGGCAATTATCAAAACAGTGATGGAGAGAACTACTGGATTCTAGAGGGGCACGTTCTTGGAAACTTGGGAAAAACTTTCTAGAGGAAGGGTGACTTAAACTGAGTTGTAAAGGGCCAGTAGGGATTAGCCAGTGAAGAGTGAAAAGAGAAATGTGAAAAGACCTAAGGAGAAAGCATTTAGTTCATCTGGAGAAGTAAAAGGAGTCCTATTAAACGTGTACTACCACAATTAGTACTAGTATAAATTGGCTTCCATGTGCTATAGGACTGCCAAGAATATTCCCCAAATCTTGCATATAACTCACTCAACCATGTGCAATTTTGGGGACTGACAGACTTATGCTCATATTTTAGCTTTGACATCTTAAAGAATTTACTCAACATCTCTGAGCCTCTGTTTCTTCAACTGTAAAATGACGATAATAACTTCTTTGAAGAATCATTATGAGGATTGAAATAAGTACGTGAATATAATGTATATTTCCCTTTCTTACATTCTTTAAACAGTTGATGGATTCCCTCAGCTTTAATGAAATTTGTCCTAATTAAGAGATACTACTAGATTTTACCCCACTTTTTAAGGTCATAGCAATTAATGGGAAGCTTTTTTATGGCGGTGATGAACCCCAAAGAAAACTTCAAGAGTGAGGATTAAGGGAATGGATAAACTTCTTTCACAAGTGATTTTAGCAGCTAAGATGAAAATGTGTCACCTCAGATGGTTAAGTCATCAAAGGACAGAAAAGCTATTCTGGAAAAAGATCAGAAATTACAGGATGGAGAGAACTTATATTTGGAAAATTCTTGGCATTTCATGACAAAGGAGGAAAGGAGTAATTAATTACAGCCCTCTTTCCCTCCAAACTAAGATAGATCTTCAGAATCCTCAACACTGTGTTCCTGGCAGCCACTCCCAGTAGATTAGCACTCCTACAAGGGTTCTCTAGGAAGAAACTAAAGAAGAAAAGACTTCGTTGGAGGGAGACAGACATTTCCTTTTCTACCCAGAGGTGTCCTTTTCAGAGATCCCTTTTCCCCTCACAGAGCTGAGGTCAGCCTCCACAGAGCACCAGCGAGGGGCCTTCTGGGTTGAGTTGCTGTGTTCCAAGCTTGATGGGATCAATAATTGGAGTAGTCTAAGAAGAGCCTATAGGATGTAATGGGAAATTTTTGTTGTGGCTATTGTTTGTTCTTGTTTTTTTTTTTTTTTTAAATTCTGAAACCTAATTTTTCTGCTGTCTACTAAACCAAAACCTGATTCAGAAATGAAGGCTCAAACAAATGTAAGGAAATTATGAATGTTACAGAGTTGCTATATTTTAAATCATATTTTGTTGGAAAAAATTTTATAACAAAATATTGAAATATTCATTAGGGTAACAATTTTATAATTACATTAAAAAAATTCTGTCACGAGTGATTAGAACAGATGGCAAAGTCGTCACAGCCTGACACAGTTTTATAGCCTGTAGTTTCAAATGGATGTGGGTCAAAGTAATTCAATGATCATTACTCTGTTATTCCTCACCAGGACAGTAACCAAGAAATTCTATAAAACCAGAAAGTGATAGAATCTCTTGCTGATTGTTTCCTGTCTTCATCTGTAAGAGGACTTGTAGTTATTGTTTTGCAGCTTATACATAGGAAACGTTCACATTAAACAATCAGGAACTTGAGCCACTCAGGGGAAGTGCTGATTTTTTTTTCTATTTTTTAGTGGAATTCATTGTAATTTAATGTTTTATATATTGGGAACAAGTTCAGTGCTCCATATATCATAATACTCTAATGAGATGCACTATATATTACCATGCTCGCAGAAGCCATCATTTGGTTCATCCCATTTGCCAGGTCTGGGATGTGACAGAGAGCTTTATAACAGGTGCCCAGTGAAGCACACGTTTTGCACAATTCATAATTCAGCCCTGGCCACCTGTCTGTTCAGTGCTGTGGCCAGATTAGGCAAGTTGCTGCATAGCCATTTCAAACAAAAATTCATATTAAACTATTAAATGAGATTTGTAACTTACCCAGCAAAGCTAAAAATGGGAAGAGTAAATTTTATTTTTGGGAACTGGTGGAACATTTACAAAATCAACCGGATTGTTACATTTTTCTCACATGCTAGTTAGAAAGATGTTGATGTATAACGGAGGAATATATCTGTGTAGATATAATCGGTAGTTGTAGCACTGCCTATTGCACATTACTTATATCTCAATTTGTTTAAGAATAGAAATACTAATTTTTAAAATTTTTAGTTGATATTTTCTGAAAAATTACCTTCTTTATTTTTATGCTACATTTTTCCCCTTGTTTGCCTATAATTGTTCTTGAAGAATACTTGAATGTCGGGGGGCCTGGTGAATGGGGGCCTCGGACACCATCTGCCCAGCTCCGCTGCCCCTCCCAAGTCTTGTACTATGGTCACAGTCTGGTGGCCATGGGGGTGCTGTGCCTTCCCTGGTCCCTACTGCCCATATCTGTGGACTGCCCCTTCCAAAGACCCCAGGGGATGGGCAGACTGCCTGCCTCACTCCCCCATCACACTAAAAAGGCAATCATCAAAACAGTGGCATGTTTGGTATTCCCTTTTTCTTCTCCCTCTCTCTCCTTCTGTCTCTCTTTCTTCTTTGTTTCTACCAACAAAAATTTCTTTAGATAAGTGCTTCTAGGTGAGGCTAGAAAGATGAATACATTGACACGGGCACATACTACTATAATGTGAACCGTGAAGTAATGACTGCTTTGAGAAGATTAATATAATGTGCTTCTAGTATTCTCAGTATGCAAGGATTGTTCTAAAATGAACTCCAAGCCACCAGGATTTAGATTATTGTCCTGGTGCCAGATTTCTTGCCCTGAGAGTTAGGTGACACTCCCTCCAACTTCATCATGCTTCAGAAGTAAGGCTGATAAACAGCTGCTTGGGTTGTGGTGGGTGCAGAGCAATTTGTGGGGTGGTGGTGTCCTCTCACAGAGGGGCCAACAGGCTGCTGCTGGTGAGGGCCAGGCAGCTGGGGATTCCCAGCGCAGCTATGATGTTATGAACTCCTTATCAAGCACCAAAGGAGGCAGAAAGCCGGAACATTCCTTAATCTCTCAGACCCTTATTTTCTTCATCTCTCAGCAAGATACAGTTTTTCTATCAATTATCACAGCTGTACACTAAATTGTGTGATTGCATATGCTATTATTTGCCTTGTTTATCTAGCTCCTAGCACAGAGTCTTACATGGAGTAGGGGGTCAGTAAATATTCGCTGAGAGTACGAATATGTGAACAATGGAAAATTACTAACCTCAAAGTGTTTTCATGAGAATTAAGAATAAATATTTTTGGATAAATGCATATGTGAATATAAAATGCCTGGGGTGCTTCCTGGCTCAGAGGAGGCACTTAATAAATATGTGGTTATGAGTTTCAGGTTAAATTGTGCATGAATTATTTAAGAAAAAATATATAAATTAATGCTTTTAAAACTTCTGATTACTTTTTGTCTAATGTCATCGGTGGCATGTCAATGTCATAGAAGCCAGAGTTTTACCATATGTTACTATTAGAGCAGGGTGTATCTTAAAAGCAAATAGGGAGACTTGTTAGGGATATTGGTTCTTTGACAGGTGCAGAAGTTATCTGGATTAAAAATAGAAATGCTTCTTTTATGAAGATATAGATTGACATCAAATATTCCACAAATGAATCACTTTACATTTCTAGTTAAAAATTTACAGCAATGAAAGCTCACATTCCTGTTGTACAAAACTAGAAAATACATGCTTTAACGTAACTTTGGAGCATCAATCTCTATTTACTAAATCTCATGCACTTCGACTAAGAAATCTATTTGTAGACAGAATCATCACATAGAAAGAAAATTGAAGCATTCTCTAACTGACCTAGCAATAGTTCAGTAATGATGATTGCCTGGAAAATTCTGTAGATTACTGTCAACTGAGAACATTCATCTGTCAGGACTCAGCAGCTGGGGAAAAAGCCCTTCAATCCAAAAGCAGAGTCGGGGCCACTATAGCATGGTGGACGGCAAGACGGAGAGTGGTTGGCCAGTGTGCTTGGGGGTGGGTGGTGGTGGTGGCTGATGATGGAGGGGTGCCTTCAGCCACTGAGTCTTCTCAATGCTAACTTAAGGGGAAGAAGAGTAGGTATGGTTTGGAAGGATGTAGATCCAAGCATACAACCTCAAAATAGCCACCTTCATCTTCACTCACCTCATGACTGCTATTATCACATATATTTCAATGGCTGGGCCAGGATGGGGACTGACTTATATCTACACCATTTGACCTTTCATTTACTTTCTAGTTCTCTCTTTCAGCTGGCTCCTTTGTTGTGGCTTCTTTTTCCTCTTTACTACGAAGGATTCCCAAGTGGTCTTTTCTCTGGTGATTCTTCCTTTTCTGCATTCCCCCCTTTTTTGGGGGAAAGTATGATTTAGCCTGAAGGATCAGGGCTGGGAGGGGTGACTGGAACCCAGAAGGAGAGAGCGGTGTATATGGAGGAAAAATGGCCTTCTATAAGGGATGTGGCCAGTGTGAGACAATCTCACAGGAAGGGAACCTGGGGAATAAACAGTGATCTCACTGTACCTCCCTGCCTCCAGTCACCTGCTGGTAGAACCCAAAGGGAAGTCCAAGGGTGCCATGATCCATGTTTGTTCAAATCAGACTTCTGGAGTGGATAGCAGAGCGGAAAAGGGTGGAGAGTAGATCTGAAGAGGCAAACAAGGTATCTGGCAAAACTCCCATATCTATAGTTCTATCCCTAACTTATTTCCTGGGCTGGAAATCTAAGGCATCCAAAATATCTTCCATGGAAACTAACCCTGTTTACCATCATTTTGTTTCTGTTGATGGAGTCTTAATTTCCACAGTTCCTGAGGTTCATAACACCAAAGTCTTCTTTGAGGTCAACTCGTCACTTCCACCAACAGTGAAGTTGAGGGAACAAGCTGTACTACTTTACCTGCTTTTAAATCTTCCACAGCAGCAAGTAATGTTTGCAGATAGTGAGCATCTAAGATATATTTATGGAATTTTCTTGACTTAACTTGTTCAGAGCTTATTGCTAATTAGAATAACTTTAACCTTGGAGATGTTTATTTTTCACTTGATTGTTGTAAGGTTGCAAAACTGGGCAGCTGCAGCCAAAGGTAACAGCCCTGAAAACACACCAGAGGATAGCACAGACAGTGCCTGCTCAGTCATGATGGACAGGGGAGAAGACAGAGGGAGCTTGCCTGATGTATTCACTAAGTGGCTGTTGAGTGAAGGTTTCCTTCGGCCAGTTATGCAAGAGGGAGACTATTTGTTCTTTTAAAATGATTGCTTATGTATTTGCTTTAGCTTTTATTAATTATTTTAAGTATCTTTAACACCAGAGATATCTCACACTGGTTGCCCTAGGGCAGTTAAAAAGCATTTTTTAAATTGACAAAAATTATATATATATTTATGCTGTACAACTTGATGTTTTGATACATGTATACATTGCGGGATAGCTAAACCAAGCTAATTAACATATGCATTACCTCACTGCTATAGTTTAGATGTTTGACCCCTGCAAACTGCATGTTGAAATGTGATCCCCAGCATTGGAGGTGGGGCCTAATGGGAGGTGTTTGGGTCATGGGGGCAGATCCCTTGTGAATATCTTGGTGCCATCCTTGCAATAATGAGTGAGTTCTCGCTCTGTTAGTTCCTGTGAGAGCTGGTTGTTAAAAGGGGTCTGGCATCTCCCCACCCTTCCTGTTTCTTGTCTCACCATGTGATCTCTGCAAACACTGGCTCCTTTTCATCTTTTGCTGTGAGTGGCAACCTGAAGCCCTCACCAGAAGCAGAGGCTGACACCATGCTTTCATGTTCAGTCTGCAGAATTGTAAATCAAAAACCTTTTCTTTATAAATTACCCAGCCTCAGTTATTCATTTGTAGTAACAAAAATGGATTAAGACGCTCACGTACTTATTAACATTTTTTTGTGGTTATGGACACTTAAAATACTCTTAGCAATTTTCAAGTACACAATATATTGTTATTAACTGTAGTCACAATGGTGTATAATAGATCTCTTGAACTTACTTCTCTTTTCTAACTAGAATTTTGTGTCTTGGACTAACAGCTCCCTAATCCCCCACACTCCTGTTCAGCCTCTGGCAACCACTATTTTACTTTCTGTTTCTATGAGTTTGGTTTTATAAGATTCCACATATAAGTGAGATTATGTAGTATTTGTCTTTCTGTGCCTGGCATATTTCACTGAACATAATATCCTTCAGGTTCATACATGTTGTTACAAATGACAGGAGTTCTTTCTTTTTTAAGGCTAAATAGAATTCCATTATATATATATATTATATATATATATATATATATATATAATATATATATAATGTACATAAAATATATATTTTTCTATTTATTTATTTATTTATTTATTGAGACAGGGTCCTACTCTGTCACCCAGGCTGGAGTGCAGTGGCACGATCTTGGCTCACTGCAACCTCCACCTCCCGGGTTCAAGTGATTCTCTTCCCTCAACCTCCCGAGGAGCTGGGGGTACAGACGTGTGCTGCCACGCCCAGCTAATTTTTGTATTTTTAGTAGAGATGGGGTTTTGCCATATTAGCCAGGCTGGTCTCAAACTCCTGGCCTCAAGCGATCCGCTTGATTTGGCCTCCCAAAGATAACAGGCATGAGCCACTGCGCTCGGCCTGTGTGATTATTATTAACCTTAAAAATGTTGACACCAAACCTAATGGATTTGGAGAATATACTGGGCTGTGTTATCAAAGCCAAGTCATAACAATCTGTTTCTGAATCAGTGTGAACTTGACAGAAGGGGTAGGTGGGGTAGAGGAACCATCACTGTTGCTGATTCTCAACCTTGGCTACACATGATAATCACTCGAGGAGCTTTGAAAAATAGTGATGCCTGGGCCCACTCCTAGAGATCTTGAATTAGCTAGTCCTGAAATAGAACCTGATATTAGTGAATAAATACAGATCTATTGTGTCCACATCTCTACCCAGGAGACTAGCTGCTGAAGGGACAGAGAGGCCTTTTGTTTAACACTTAAGATTTTTCCTTCCTTCTGTTTTGTCTTAGGACAGTAAAAATGCAACAGTCGATTTCTCTTAAGGCAATTACCCAAGAAATTTATGGTAATATGCCAAAGTTGAAGCCAAGGTGACTGCTTGGCTTATCATAGATATGATTGCGAACAAGATGGCTCACAACCAAATGTGTTATAAAAATGAGTAACATTAGTAGGAAATGGCATGTGAAGGATTGACTTATAATACAGATGTCCTGAATAATGTATAGTCACTGCCTTCCATTGTTTATCATCAAGGTGGAAAGTGTGAAGTCCAAAGCTCACAGCTAGAAGCAGACAGTGTAAGATAGTATATAAATCACTGTAAAGATGCAGGGTGAAGATAATACCCTATGTATAAAACTAATGATTCACAATCATTATACATGCATAGTCAATTCTTATCCTAGATAGATTTTTATGAAAACGAATATTTAATTCTTCAAAATGCTCCCAGGTCTCAGAAGGAAAAGCCACATTCACCCCTGGACACAGGTGACGACACCCTTAGGGTGCCTGACACCTTGGGACTACATTGTTGCCCACATGAATAATTCAAAATATATTTTAAAACATGATGCAAAATTTATATACATGCTGAAATCAAAATAACTTTTTTCTAGGTTTTCTGAGCATAAAACTCTAGGTAAAACTCTTGGTTTTATTTTATTTTATTTTATTTTGTTTTGTTTTGTTTTGTTTTGTTTTGTTTTGTTTTGTTTTAGAGATAGGGTCTTGCTCTGTCAGCCAGGCTGGAGTGCAGAGGCATGTCACGGCTCACTGCATCATTGACCTCCTGGGCTCAAGCAATCCTCTCACCTCAGCCTCTCACGTAGTTAAGACTACAGGCATGTGCCACCATGCCCAGCTGATTTTTTATTTTTTTTTGTAGAGATGGAGTTTCGCCGTGTTGCCCAGGCTGGTCTTGAACTCCTGGGCTCAAGTGATCCACCTGCCTTGGCTTCCCAAAGTGCTGGGATTACAGGTGTGAACAACTCTTCCAGCCATGATTTTACTTTATTAGTGGCCCTTCTTTGTTGATGTCCTCAGTTTGGAACTAATCTGCCTACAGTGTAGCACAGCACTGGGCCCACTTTAATGGTCCCCAAGGAGGACTGCATATCATTTCTAACTACTATGCTTGAGCTTCTGGAGAGCTGAGATTGTGTCTTGTTCATTTTTGAATGTCCCACAGTGCCTATAAACAATATTTATTGATTGAATTATATATACAGCACCGTTGAGTCTGAGAGTCTGAGTAATTTGCTTCTGAGTTTCAAGTAAAACTCTCCATCTTTCAACATACAAAAAGTGCCTTTCAGTAAATTTTTTTTGGAACCAGTTTTATTGTCACCATGTTTTATTGTTTTGCAGTGCTGATATTCTAGGGATGAGGCCACAGTCTTGATGATACAACTGTGATTCATTGTTTACCACAGATTAGTTTCTTTTAGGAGATGGTGCATGAATGTTGATTGGCGGGGACAGGGGAGAAAGTGGGGTGCACCAGAGAAGAATATATTCGTCAAGATAAATAAACATCAATTTGTGCAGCCTCTCAAAACATGCTTTCTGAAAAGGACCTTTCTGGCATTGTTCCTCTATTTGCTTTCAGCTTCTGTATTTTAATTTATTGAAAATTCTGCTAGCCCAAACCTGCCTCCACTCACTGGAAAAACATTGCCTTTATAATGAAGAAAATTTATTGCCAACTGTGCCCTTGGAATTTCATGCATGCTGTTCATTTTGATGCCTGGCATTAAAATTAGCTTTTATTTGAATTTGTACTGTTGTACATATGTAATTTTCTTTAAAAAAATTACAATTTTGTTTTCCGAGAAAGCGATTGGTAGAAGAAAAGCTGCTTTGCAAATATTTGGTAGAATCTAGCCTTTGTAAATAACTTGCCTGAGTAAAAATGCATGTTATTAGTCCTGCTTTCTCATATGTTTAAATAATTATTTGTATCCTATACTTATCTGTGTCCCTGTAACCTACAGTTGAAGAGCAGTGGTTCCCAAATGCCAGACTGTAACAGTGTTTTCACTGGCTCTCAATAAAGTTTGGCAAATAAAGATAATGTTAATTTTTTTTATAAGGCTACCTATTTTTCAGTTTAAAGAAAAAATACCTGTCATTCTGTGATTTTTGTTAGATATCCTTTCTTTCTTTTGTTTATTTGGTTTGCTTTGTAGGGAGAGGATCTTGTTTTGTTGCCCAGTCTGGAGTGCAGTGTCATGATCATGACTGACCACAGTCTTGAATTCATGGGTTAAGGAATACCCTTGCCTCAGCCTTACAAGTAGCTGGACTACAGGCTGGTGCCACCATGCCTGGCTATTTAAAAAAAAAATTTTTTTTTATAGAGACAGAGTGTCACTATGTTGACCAGACTGGTCTTGAACTCCTGGCCCCAGGTAATCCTCCTGTGTAGGCCTCCCAAAGTGGAATTACAGGTGTGAGCCACTGCTCCCGGTCTAAATGCCCTTTCTTTCACAATATGATAGAAATAGGAGAATGGCAGCTAGTTTTAAAAATGTTCATGTTTGACAAAGTAAAAACATTGGGAAATGCTTCATTGTTTGTTTTGTAAGCTACAGAAACTACCATTACAAGAATGGCAAAGACTGTTCCTGATGTCAAAATTAGCAGTTACAAAATAAAAACTGATTATCCACTAAAAGAAGTGTTTTGACCAACCAAATTGGGGGCAATTTGTCCTTTCTACAGGCTGCAAATCCTTTCCAAAGACTAAGAATTAGACTCGTGTAGGCTAGAGGCGATAGTTAACATCTTTTGGACATAAGCCCTTGCCTAGGCTGATGGGAACCTCAGACCTAGCTGGGAACACACTCATGATTAACTGATGCTAGGGCAACAGAAAAATGGGCTCATGTGTGCAACAGAAGATCCTCTATTGGGGAAAGATAAGAACTTTCTAGGGGAAAACCCAAGTTATCGGTGATGGAGTAATATCCTATAAGACAAACCACAACTTCATAAGCTGAGTCCAGTTTCACATTGGCCCAGGATCTGGGCTGGATAAAGTCCTTCCATATGACACCTCTGTGGGTGGCCCACTGGCCTCAGCAGTAAACAGAATATCCATGGAGGGCAGTCTCCTGCATCTGATCACTTTCCACTCAATAGAATTCCTCCTGGGAGATGGTAGGTGGGAGGGTGAGTAGGAGAAGTGTGGAAACATTTTGATCAATAAGAAATTTCTCAAGCTTTTAACACTTGCTTTTTGAGGAGGACTCTATTAGCATTTTTACCTATTTATTTTCTTTGTTTAGTTTCATGACTAAATCTTAGCAAAAAGCCTGCTCCTACATAAAGGACAGGCATCTTTCCAAGCCCATGCCAAGATGGTCACTGTCATCAGGCATTCACTGTGAAGGAGACTGCCAGTTATCATCTGGTTGGTGCTATGCTGGGATGGGATAGGCAGGGAACAGGAAGATATTTGTGGTTTCTTGTGGTTCCTTCCATCCCTTTTCAAATGTCCTCTCTTGTGGACCTACTGATGAAGTATCAGCTGTTCTACTGGCCTATGGTTGTCTAGGAAGATTTATATCATATTATATTATATTATATTATATTATTATATTATATTATATTATACTATTATATTATATTATAATATAATTTCACTTCCTTTCTGGTGTTTTCTAAGCCAATTACTTTTTTATGATACAAATGGATGTATTGATGTACCATACGTTTCTCTCTGTCTTCAGCTTTCTCATTTGCTTGTGCCAATCCCTGGTAAAATAAAATCCATCTGACTATGTCAAGAGAACAAAGTCATGGCCATGAAGGCCTAGTGCTACTTTTTGAATGGGACTGACTTGAACTTTTCCATGCTGATAGGAAAAATCTGCCCCCTTCCGCCCCCCGTCACAACAGTAAAAGAGAGTATCCATTTGAACTCCATTCTACTTGCTTCTCATCGCCACGAGGAGCTTCCACTGCAATGACATCTCTTTCCAGCCCTCTCCAGCTCCCTCACTTGCTCCTTACCTGATTGGTGAGTTTAGGTGGAAGCAAAGGAAATTGCTCCATTCAAACTTCCCAAGCTCTCTCTCAAAACTGCTGGCCTGCATAGCAGGTGTATTTGGGTCTGTCCTCAGTATATGGACAGATTACTGGGTGAACTTTGCCCTTAAATGGGTGTCCTCTGATTTCTAGTTCAACCTGTCATGGAGCAGGTAAGAATATTTCTGAAGTTGGTGTCAGGATGACAATGGAGACCACTGATTTAAATCCATGTTCTCTAATCTGCTTTACCAAAAGTAAAGCTGCCCTTTTGATCTCCATCTGTCTGTCTCTTGGTTCTTATTTCTCAATCAGTTCAAAACTTGACAATGGGGTGTTATTTAATTGAGCCCTTAAATTCCAATATATAATCCCCACAAGCAACTTAACTTGTGACAGGTGAATAAATAATAGTTATTCACATGGTTCAATTTCCATGTCATCCATCCTGGAAACCTCATTTAAAAACTTCTGGACATAGAACCTTGCCTCTAACCAACCTATTGGGGCCCTGGGTGTGCTTTCTCCAACAGAGCTACTACATGACCTAGATTGGTATAAATTATTGTTGACACTTTCAAGCTGAAGGCCTAGAGCTGTCATTAGGGGACCTGGTCCCAGGGCCCAACTGATCCTGGCAAATGTACTCACAAAAGACCCTGGGTCTGTGGCTACAGGCGACCTAGAAACTCTCTTCCTCTGTGAAATATTCAGAATTTATGACCTCCCACATGAAGTAATATTGTAATTCAGATGGTTGCAGGAGTCTGTTTCTGTAGAGCCCTCTCCAATATCTCTGATTTAAAATGCACTTGACCTTTGATTGCCGTCATAAATTCAGCAGCCAAACCAGAAGACCCTAAATGTGAGCAGCTTTGTGAGACCATACAAAATTCTGCCTCTATCCCCAGATCCCATTTGATTGATGTAAGGATTGTTAATCTTTGGGACTTTCCCCCTATCATCATTTTCCTATTTCTACCTACAGCCTCTTAGCAGAACTCCAAACTAGTTCCAACTCCAGGCTATCCTTCACCAGGCAAAGTCTGTCTAATGACCTATCTTTAATGGATGTGTTATATTAGAATGTGTTTGGAAATTTAATGTTGGCTTTAACAAATAGGAATTTGTGTCATATGATAAAAAGTTTGGAGGCAGTTGGCTGTGCCCATTGTCCACCTCTTTTTGCCCTGCTTTGTGCTCTGGGAAGGTGATCTCTAAGGAGTGTGTTACCTGTGCTCTCTAACCCCTGTACTTTGGATTGGGTTGGCCAATGGATTGGGTTGGCCAACAATGGATTAGGCTGGCCAACTTTGGATTGGGTTGGCCAACAGCTGGAGATCACAAACAGGGAGGAGAGAGAAGTTGGGATATTTCTTTTCCTGGCTTCCTCTATGTTGGACCCAGTTGGTTTGTGGCTGGAATCTTTTACCTAAAACAACAGTTCTTATGGGGAATCCCTTCTCTATTTTCTCCTGGTTCAAGCCTCTTGTATTAATACCTTCCTCTCCTTCCCTTTCAAGCTTGAAGTTTTAATGGCTCCTCACTGTTGATGGTTCCTGAGGTTTCATTATTCCTTATTGATTCTCCTCGGCTCGCCCACACCTTTGTAAAGAGAGGCCCTGTATGAACCTCTGTTTAGTCACTCTTTGAGTGTGCCACCTGTTTCCTGCTGGTACTCTGATTGATATGGCATCTGGTGGCATTGATTCAATAGAGCAAAGCTATTATATCTGTGACATTTCTGTGATTCTCTTGGCCTTTCCTTGGTGGTTGCAATATAGATGCTACTGCATCTGTCGGTGTTCCAGGCAGAAAGAAGGGGATGGGGGAGCCAGCTGACTCCTATTCCATTTAGCAGAAAAAGAAAGGTCTTTTCTTCAGCCCTAGGGGATCCTAGTTGAGGGGCCACACAGTGCCTTTAGGATTTCCAGGGTGATAAGAAAAAGGGGAATCAACATTTACTGAGCACCTACTACAGATCAGGCAATGTATTAGATGCTTTACACACCTCACTGCCTCCAGTTGAAGCAGGTACAGAGAGGTAAAGGGACTACCTTAAGGTTATTCAGCTCGAAACTTGCAGGGAGGGAATTTCAACATCACTATTCTTCCAGCAGCAATCAAACATTTATTCAATGAGATCTTATGTGGAATAAAAATGAAAAAAGATGAAAGCTAAGCCCCTCTAGTTAAGCCAGGGAAAGGACCTGAAGATGTTGAAAAGAATGCCTTGCCCTTACACCATCCCATGGGGTGGCCCTAAGACTCTTCTGCAGAACTCCAGGGTTTCTTGGAGCAGAGTTTGAAAACCACCACTTTCTACTCTGCTAGAAGCACACACAGAGCTCCCCAATAAAAAACAATTTGAACAAAGCAAATACTGGAAAAACCTTATTGACTTATCCAGTCCTTGACTTCATGCTATTCTTTTCTTTCAAGTCTATCTTTACTTTTAATATGAATATTTATTTTTATTAATGCAATACATGCATATTGTTTAAAAAAATCAAATAGTATTAAAATGCTTCTGGTAGAAAAATATGCACCAGAAATCTGCTCCCTGAAGCAACCACTTTCTACACTTTTAGCTTCATCTTGTGGCATTTATCTCCACATTTCTAAATATAATGTTTTTGTTTCTATTTCTTATTTCTTTCTTGATTATTATCTACTGACTTTTTTTTTTTTTGAGATAGAGTCTCGCTGTGTGCCAGTGCCAAGCTGGAGTGCAATGCCACAATCTTGGCTCACTGCAACCTCCGCCTCCTGGGTTGAAGTGACTCTCCTGCCTCAGCTTCCCGAGTAGCTGGGACTATAGGCACCCACCACAACACCTGGCTAATTTTTTTGTATTTTTAGTAGAGATGGGGTTTCACCATGTTGGCCAGGATGGTCTCAATCTCTTGACCTCATGATCCACCTGCCTTCGCCTCCCAGAGTGCTGGGATTACAGGCATGAGCCACTGCACCCGGCTCTACTGACTTCTTATTGTGGCAGATAAGTGTTTAGTTCTTTTATAATCCCCCTTTTTCCTGCTCCACCTATTTAAGGTAATTACAATTTTTATCAAAATCAGCTTTTACTTTATTATATTGAGTCAAACAATTCAGTATAATTACATTATTTTTCTTGTACAGCTCCTCCTCCCCACACTTCAAGTTTGTATTTGATTCATGTTTCCATTTCCTGAGTTTTCCTTATACATATTATTTCCTCCAAACATTCCAGTTTACTTGTAACTGTTTTTTTATTCATTGTGTTTGTTATTTGTTTCTTTTTTAAAAAAATCTTCCTCTTTTTTGCTTTTTTGTAGGCATTTTATATGATTCCATTTTCTCTCCTCTCAGCATATCAATTATATTTCTTTAATTTTTTTAGAGGTTGCCCTTGAGTTTGCAATACACATTTATAAGTAATCCAGATCCACTTTCAAATGACACTATACCACTTCATGGGTGGTGCATGTCCAATTCCTTCCTCTTATTCCTTATAGTATCATTGGCATTTATTTCATTTATTCATATGCTATATCACCCAATACATTGTTATTATTATTACTTTGAACAGTTATCCATAGATCAGGTAAAAATAGGAAAAATATTTTATTTTACTTTTTTTTCCTTCTCTGACACCCTTTCTTTCTTTATGTAGAGCCATATTTCTAACCTATGTCATTTCCACCTCACCAAAGAAGTTTGCTTTGGCATTTTTTTCTTTTCAAGACAAGTCTGCTGGTGACAAATAGCCACAGTTGTATTTGCCTGAGAAAATCTGTTACTTCTTCACTTTTGAAGGATAATTTCACTGGATACAGAATTTAAGACTGGTGGTTTTTTCTTTTAACACTTTCAATATTTCATTCTACTTACTTTTGGTTTTTGTGGTTTCTGATGAGTACAGTGTAATTTTTATACTTGTTCTTCCATAGATAAGGTGTTTTTTTCCCCTCTGGCTTCTATCAAGGTTTCATTGACTTTGGTTTTCTGCAGTTTGAATATGATACCCAGGTGTAGATTTTTTTCAGGGGTTGGACATTTATTCTGCTTGGTGTTTTATAACTTTTTGGAATTTGTGGTTTGGTTTCTGTGATCAATTTTAGAAAATTCTCAGCTGTTATAACTTCAAATAATTCTTTGGCTCCTTTCTCTTTGTTTCTTTTTCTGGTATCCCATTATGCATAGGTTATACCTTTTGTAATTGTCCCAGGGTTCTTGAATATTATCTTTCATTTTTTTCATTCTTTTTTCTCTTTGAATTTCAGTTTAGAAAGTTTCTATCAACATAGATTTAGGCTCACTAATTCTTTTTTTGGCTGTGTCCAGTGTCCTGATGAACCCATCAAAGGCATTCTTAATTTTTGTTAAATTTTTTTATTTCTAACATTTCCTTTTTATCTTTTCTTAAAAGTTTCATCTCTCTGCTTATATTACCCATCTATTCTTGCATATTGTCTATTTCTTCCATCAGAGACCATAGTATATTAATTTTAGTTATTTTAAATTCATGGACTGATAATTCTAAATCCCTGCCATATATGAGTCTGGTTTTGATGCTGCGTTGTCTTTGCAGATCATGTTTCTCCTTGCATTTTACTATGACTTGTAAATTTTTGTTGAAGATTAGACATGATACTAGGAGTTGAGGTAGATAGGCCTTTAGTGTGAGATTTTATGTTTATCTGGCTAGGAGTTAGGCTGTGTTTATTGTTTGCTGTAGCTCTGGATATTAGAGGCGTCAGTTTCCTCTAGCGTCTTCATTTTTGTCTCCTTTTGTCTTCAGGTTTTCCTAGATACTCCTTCTTAAGTAAAGTCTGAGCATTGCAGTTCTTTCTGCCATAATCCACTGTTATTATATAAGAGCCTGACTGATGTGATGGTAAGATATGGGGAGAAGGAAAAACATTCTATATCTCTACAATTAGGTCTCAGTTTTTAGTGGGCCTGTGCCTCTGGGCTTTGATCTTCATAAGTGCTTGTCACACTCCCCTGTCCCCTGTAGATGAGACAGAAAGGCTCTATGGGATTTTTCTCTGCTCTTTTCCTAACAAGCTGATGGGGCTCCTTAGAGGTAACATTCATGTAAGTGGGGGCCCCCTCAGGAAAAAACCACCCCAAGAATTTTAAACTCTCATGCTAGCCCACACTCAAATGCTTAGCAATTTTTTGATTTTACTTTTGAAGTGTTCAAATGATTACAGATTCCAGTAGCTTCTGATTCAGGTAAACTGATCTGTATTCTTTGTATTCACCTGTCTCTTCAGTTTTCAGGGTGGTAGTTTGCCAATTCTCTGACAGGTATAAGAAACGTGGTTGATTTTCAGTCTGTTCAGGTTTTTTTTTCTTATTGTGAGGACAAGGATGATGACTTCCATGTTTCTTATATGTTGACATGAACATGGACGGCCCAGTGTATTTGTAAAATAGTGCTGCCTTGCAGTACTATTTTCTGTGTGTTCAGATACATCATGTAATCTATCAGTTATGAGTTGTTTTTTTTTTTCTGGAGACCTCCTTTCTGGAATTTCATAGTCTCTGGACTGGAATGGTTGCTCTCAAGCCTACTGCAAAGTTGTCGTTCAGGGACTGCCTTCCCCACCATTGTGAGAATTTTCTTTGCCTGTCTTGTGCATAGGATTTTCTATTTTCTGGCTCTACTCTCTCATTTTAGGTGGAGCAAATTCTTCAGAATCTCCTTGGAAAGGGGCTCATAGGAGATACATTTTTTTTGGTCATTAACTACTGTAAATACATTATTTTATTTTATTCTCTATCATACTGGATTGGTGATTAGGTACAGAATTATAGATTGGAAATATTTCCTCTTAGCATTTTCAAGATATTGCAGTATATTAATAAATAGTTTTGCAAATTCTAATGCTAAAATGATCCGTGTTGCTTTTTATTATTTGCCCATTTGGAATCTACTAAGGTTTTTCTTCATTTCTGGTAATGTGAAAATTCAAGATGATGTGCTTTGGTGTAGATTTTTAAAAAATTATTCTACTGGGCACTTGGAGGTCCTTTCAGTCTGGAAATTCACATGCTTCAGTACTGAGAAATGTATTGAGTAACTCCTTTGAACATTTTCTTCTCTTTTTCTTTTCTTTTTCTTGAAACTGTTATTTGTCAGATATTGAAACCTGTGAATTGATCCTCTGACACTTATTTTTCTTTCCATTTTTTTATTTTTTAAGATTATTCTTTGGAGATTTCTTTGACTTAATTGTTCAACCCTTCTTTTAAATTTTAGCTTGGGTATTAAATTCTAGCTTGGATATTGCTATTTTAATTTCTAAGAATTCTTTCTTATTTGCTGATGTGTTTTTATTTTAATAGACTATTCTTCTTGTTTTAAGTGATGCAATATTTTCACTCCTACCTGAGGATATTATTTGTGATTTTTTAAAAGTTTTCTTCTTTTTTCTGTATCATCATTATTTCTTTTTATTGTTTTCTTTTTCCCATTTATTCATGTTGGTCTCTATTTTCCATGTTGGAAGACTTTCTCAGACATCTTGTACTCTGGCACTAAACAGCTGAAGTGAATCTCACGTGCATGGGTTGAGTTTATTAAGTAGGGTTCATCAAAGGATAATTATGGGATAATTGTTTTTTAGGAGAAAACAGTAAATGTTAGCATTTGTAATCATTTCTCTGAGGTTGCGTGACAGAGATTGTAAATGCTTACCCAATACTCATGTGCTTATCTAAATTTTCCATCTCCCTTTTAGTTAGAGTGGGGCCATATGACTTGATTCTGGCCAATGAGGTGTGGGTCAATTTGTGCACATCTTGTACAATCCTCAAACTCTCTCTTTTCCTCCTGTAATGCTATCAGATTCTACATGTTCTAGATGTTTAGCTATGATATAGAGACACACAATCTGACCTGTTCCAGACTGATGAGAGTAAGAAACACACTTTTTAAAGGATTTGTTAGTTGTTACAGCAAGGCCTATTCTTTCTGATTAATACGGGCCAGTTTCTCCAGAAAATAACCCTTTAGTTCTCTGCTTGGGGAGAATATGCCTGATTGTCAGCGTTTGACAGCAAGAGTGGGGAGGAATAGATAAAGATCTTCTCTTGGCCACAAAGGTGGTGAAGCAAATTTAGGGGTGTGTAATTACTCAGCACAAAAACTTTCATCACTTTCCTTTTCAGTCTCGTGCCTTGCCCCTGCTTTACCAACACCTACCTGGCCTTTCCTATGTCTCACTGGGTTTGCTTCCCTTTGTCCTCTTTCTCTGTAGATGCTTAGGGTTCAGCCTCTTTTACATCAGTTACCACTCTTCTGTTTGTTTTCCATTTTTTATGTTTAAAAAATATTGTTCACTTGCCATTGTCCTCTCTCTTTTTTTTTTTTTTTAATTATACTCTAAGTTTTAGGGTACATGTGCACATTGTGCAGGTTAGTTACATATGTATACATGTGCCATGCTGGTGCGCTGCACCCACTAATGTGTCATCTAGCATTAGGTATATCTCCCAATGTCCTCTCTTTTAACTCTTCGCCCTTGTGTATGTACACACTTAAAAAAAATTCCTTCACTGAATTTTAATGGGGCTTCAGAAGAAAGAGGGCATAAAATGTGTGGTCAATTAGTCATGTTTATCTGGATGTCTTCCCTTTACTTCAATACTTAGGTTACCATTTTGGGGTTCGGGTGGGACTTCTTGCTCCAGATGTCATATTTCCACTGTTCTCTTAAGTGGCTTCTTAATGGCACATCTGTTGTTAACCCTCCTGGTCCAGATCTTGGACAAATCTTGATGCCCAAATATTCATTCCTTTAACCAAGCACATGTGTCTGTGTGGGAGGCTATCCTCCGAGGGTGATGGCCTAGCCAATGAGCCCTTTATCAACTAACATCTGCCTATTGGTCCAACTACCTATTCAAGTTGCCTCCTCCTCCCACCTCCACCCCTCCTGGCACATGTTATACCTAAATCTGACTGGATTTTACTCTCCACAACTTCCATGCATGTGCTATTCCCTCTGCCTACTATGTCCTGCCCCATTTGTTTACCTGGTGAGCTTTTACTCAGCTATCAAGACTTAAGCCAAGAGATACAACTTCTGCTTAGTCTTTGTGGATAGCTTTCCTGCTCTTACCCTCAGGCAGAGGTAAAATTTATCTTCTGTGCCCCAATTAATCTTTCATTTATCTTTGATATATAGCACTTGCTTTGTTTTACTTCATTAATTGCTCTGTTTCAACGTTGAGGGCAGAGACTTATTTGTCCTTGGGTCCTAGTGCTTGAAACTGTCTTTGCCAAAGAATAAGCACCTGACACATGTTTGTTGAAAGTACTCAGGACACGTTTTCTCCATTCTCCTGCTACTTGTGGGCAGATGGAAGTCTGAAACACCCAGAACTCAGGGCTCTTTACACTTTTCTTGGGGAGTTCTGGGAAGGGAGAAATTATGACCTTTGGCAGAAGCCATTTACTCTCAGCTGACACCTTGTCCCTAATAACTAAAATCTCTCATGCTGCATGTAAGCCTATTTCCTCTGATTCAGCAAAGCCTCTCCTAAATATATCTAGATTTAGACTGGGCGCAGTGGCTTATGCCTATAATCCCAGCATTTTGGGAAACTGAGGTGGGTGGATCACCTGAGGTCAGGAGTTCGAGACCAGCCTGGCCAATATGATGAAACTCTGTTCCTACTAAAAATACAAAAATTAGCCATTCTGTGGTGGTGCATACCTGTAATCCCAGCTACTCAGGAGGCTAAGGTGGGAGAATTGCTTGAACCCAGGGGGCAGAGGTTGCAGTGAGCCAAGATGGTGCCGCTGCACTCCAGCCTGGGCCACAGAGGGAGACCCTGTCTCAAAAAAAGTATATATGTATATATAAAATCATTCAACCCCAGTAAGTTCCTCCTAGATCACATCTTCCTTTTTTTTTTTTTTGCCATTCTTTTCTAGATCCTATAAAATAGCGTTGTTAAAATGAAGAAAAATACAAGTAAGTGAACCTGATTCTCTAACTCTTTTAGAGAAATAGCTGTGTGTAACACTGGGTCAATCCTCAGAGCTTTATGCTGGGTAAAAGGATTACCCAGTCTTTCCACTAGAGTAGAGAGTAATGAATGGCACTTTTCCCCCAGAGTACACGCTCCAGTTGAGTGCACAGTGGACATCGTCCTAGCAGGATGCTAACAGCTTCAGCATACCTGCTATGTTATTGCTTTGCTTTCAGAGAGTGATGCCTAATAGGTCAAACCAGAGGGCCTTAATCTTATAGATCCAAAACTCAGCTTGCTCCAACCCTGAGTCATGATGAAATCGGAGTTCCACGCCTGTCAGCCTACCATTCGTGTACCCCAAAGGCTCATATAGTCTGTCAGAGAATACTTTAGGGAGGGCCACCATGTTAGCAGCAGCAGCAGCAACAACAGCAACAACAACAACACTACGACTGCCCGGGAAACAAAGGACAGAAAGGAAAAAAAGAAGAGCAAAAGATGTGCAAACAAACCTTTCTGCATGCTGGATGGATTTCAAAGAAAGAGAAGATTTTACTTTTTTCTGTTTATTTTTCGGGAATTAAAATTATCTGCAAAAGGGAAAGCGTGAATATGTAAGTAGTAACTAAAATAAAGTTCACAAACTCAGATGCATTCAGATGACAGCCATATGACTTAAAAGGGGCAAGGTCTCAAGGAATAACACTTGCAAGGAGTGGGTTCTGGGGAGAGGGGTGTGTTTGTTTCTCACCTAGATGGATTCAAACTTTGAAAAACACCTACCAGCATCTGGGAGTTTGGAGTTTCCTAATTAAGATGATGCTATCAAATCAGGCATGTGATCGTAAGTATTACCTGGAGTGTGGTTACAAGCAAGAATCCCAGGGCTTTCCTATAAACCTCTAAAGAAGAATCTTCAGGGAAAGGTCCTGGGAATCAAGCTATCTAATATTTATTTATATATTAGCCAGATGACACTTATGATTCGGAACTTTTGGCGTACACCAAAATAAAATGTATGGCCTAGTGCTTTCCAACCAAGTGCAGAGCTATTTGACTGGGGAGGGGTGGGGGCCAAACAATGGGCTCCCTTGGGGTGAATGTCATGAGATGGCAGTGAGGGCAGAGAGAACATCCTGAGTGAGGAGATGTGGATGCCGTGAATGGCTTGAATGCAACTGAGGAAAGTGATTAGGGCTATGTTGAGGTCTTGCGTGTGAGACAGTGGATTTACTAAGATTTCCACAATCACAGGGATTGATTTGAGGTGTTTGGAACTTAATGAGTGGAACTGTCTTTAAAGTGCATTTTGTCCCTACAGGAAACATAAGCTTGGAATGGGAAAATGGAGGCTTCTGCTGATAGGCCTACTGCTTTTTGAGTGCCTTGGCTGTCAAGGTATATTTGACATTTTTCCGGATCAAAAGATTCCAGAAATTGTCTAATTTTTATTTTTTCATTTGTGAAGGTCATTGGCAATAGATTACTTGATCTGCCAACTTCTGAAGGCAAAATAAAATTCTATGATGAAAAATTGATGGTTTTCTCTGTGCCTTATTGAAATGTCATGTAGGTGTTAAGACAAAGATTAAAAATGCCCCTACTACAGCTTGGCATATTAAAGGTAGAACAATTGTCAGGCTGTAGTTACATGTCACTATACTGCAGGAAAATAAAACAAGCTCATGATAAATGGAAAGGAGAATCAAACAAATACAGTATGACAAATAAACACATTGAAGATCCCTTTTCAAATAGATTAAATAGGCGTAGTACATAAACACAGATATTGGCCAACCAAGCTTGGAAATTTACTATTTATGTATGTTGTTTAGTGGTTTAGGAGAATACTCACTTATTTTCTCATAATATCTTTAGGCCTGAGCATGGCATAACTGGATTTTTTGCTCACAAGGCTGAAACCAAGGTATCAACTAGGCTGCATTCTCATCTGAAGCCTGGGTCCTCTTCCAAACACAATCAGTTTGTTGGCAGAATTTGGCTCCTTGTGGTTGTAAAACTGAAGTCCTCAGCTGTAGAGGCTGTCCCTCTCACTAGGCAGTTCATGGGATTGCTCCTTGAAGGCCAGCAAGAGAGCATTGTATTGCTTGCAGTATCTAATTCAGGAAAGGCCTGAATGCCCCTCTTTTTAAAAAATACATTTTACTGTATATGCTTAAGGTATAAAACATGATGTTATGGGAGACATATAGACTGTTAAAAGGTTACTATAGTGAAGCGAGTTAACATATCCATTATCTTACATAGTTACCAATTTTTTGTTTGTTTCTGTAGCAAGAGCAGCTAAAATCTACTCATTTAGCATGAGTCTCATATACAGTTCAATTTTATTACCTATAGTCCTCATGTTGTACATTAGATCTCTAGACCTGTTCATCTTACATATCTGCTACTTGTATCTTCTGACCTACATCTCCATATTTCCTTACCCCTCCTTCTCCCACCAATACTCCACTCCCCTGCCCCTGGTAACCACTGTTTTGTTCTCTGTCTCTGTATATTTGAATTTTTTAAAGGTTCACGTGAAAGTGAGGTCATGCAATATATATATATATATATATATATTTTTTTTTTTTTTCCTATGGGCCTGGACACTTTCAAAGAGCTCAAGTCAGGTTCATTTGAAACTTGTTCCAGTTGAGCTCTTTAAAAGGGTCCTGGCCCATAGAAAAAAAAAGAGGCTGTGAAAACATAAAATTATAAGCCTCATATATTTTACCTCAGCCTTGTCTAGAAAACATATTAGGGCAGAAACTACTAACTTTAACTAATGACCGTAAATGAAGAAACTTGGACAAATGGTGACTGTTGACACAAGTGCTTTGGGAGGACAAGCATGTGGCCAGCCATCACTTACTGTTAGATGAGAACAACATTAGTGAATACTTGCATAATTGTTACTACACAGTTTAATTAATATTTATTTGTACCCCATCAATATAAAGTTATCCCAACACTACAAAGTTTGCTAATTAGAACAAAGAGACTTGCTATAGCAGTAAAATATATTTTTCCTTTAATTGTTCTCCAAATAGTTGACATATAACCTCTAGTCTAGAATATTTGCTATAAGAAAAACTACATTTACTAGAATACTGTTATATAAAATTGTGGTCACTTAAGGTTGTAAGCTACATTTGGTTTTACTTATCAACTTTGGTATTTGTTAATTTACTATGGCATCACTAGCTTTGGTAAATTTAATCTGTACAAAAGCTCTGTGAAATTTTTCTTACACATATACACCATGGAATACTATGCAGCCATAAAAAATGATGAGTTCATGTCCTTTGTGGGGACATGGATGAAACTGGAAACCATCATTCTCAGCAAACTATCGCAAGGACAAAATACCAAACACCGCATGTTCTCACTCATAGGTGGGAATTGAACAATGAGAACACCTGGACACAGGAAGGGGAACATCAACTCTGGGGACTGTTGTGGGGTGGGGGGCAGGGGGAGGGATAGCATTAGGAGATATACCTAATGCTAAATGACGAGTTAATGGGTACAGCACACCAACATGGCACATGTATACATATGTAACAAACCTGCACATTGTGCACATGTACCCTAAAACTTAAAGTATAATAATAATAAAATAAAATAAAATAAGAGGAAAATAATTCAAAGTATATAAATAACATAAAACAAAATATGAAAATTAATTTATAATAGAATATTGGCACATTATATAAACAGATAACTCAAAAAAGAAATAATACATAAAAGAGAAATATGACAAATAACATTCAGTGATAGTGAAACTTCATGAAATAATACTTTCATTATATTGCTGGTGAAATAAAAATTGGTAAGCTTTCCGTGGTGATTTTTTATAATAGTCATATTCTTTGACCTGGTCATTCTACTCTTAGGACAGAAATTAACCAGGGAGATGCTCAGAGATGTAAGTTACAAGGTTGAAAGCTGTAGCATTATTTATATTGTTAATATAATGTATTTATCCAAGGGAGTTGTATGCAGGAGTGAAAAATACCATTTAAAAATATATATTTAATGATGTAGAATGCTGTTATATTAAATAAAAGTTGCATAACCAAAAAAAAATAGGCAGATAGCTGAAGGCATATTTCCTCATTGAAAATGATTCCCAAGTAAAATACAAAAGTGTCTTGCACACTGACTTTAGGCCACAACTCAGAATTTGTTGTCAAGGTGAAATGGATTTCAAAGACCTAGGAAGGGTGAATGAATAGAGTGTGTGATTAACTGATGGCCGCAGGACATGCTCTGAGATAGCTTCTTGCATGTGGTGATTCCTGGGCCCAGGACCCTCACTCATGTGCCTGAGGCAGAATGAACTGACTATTCAGTTCTTGTCCTCACTGCCTAACTCATTGTTACAGGACTTCAGATAAATCTTTTAATATCTTGAAAGGATATTAAAGGTCTGGTGAAGTTCTAAAACACCATTCTTTGATCTCTATTTTCATGAGACCAGTAGAATATATTTGTGGGATGGCTGGGGTTTGAGATTAGCCACTGCCATGAAACAATGGAACTAACTGGCACTTCCAGAGCATGAGATCACGATTCTGTTACCATGCTCTGATTACTTTCAAATATAGTTGACAGTTCAAAGAAAGGCAGTAATTGCTTCTCAAGACACTTAGCATAATCTCTGATTTCTCAGGCAGCAATGCTGTTAGTTGCTAGTTATTTTAAACAAAGATGGACAGAAATATGTCTTTGGAAAATATAATATTGCCATTTTATCAGACTTAAAATTTTTTTTGGCATTATATTTACCAAACCAAAGCTTTCATGCCAAACTCCAAACACATTTAGACTTGGTTTCAATAGTTTCAGGGTCCACATATGTCTCAGAGATAATTTAATACCATATTTCATTTAATGTTCACTTGCACGTTCTGCTTTTGCTACACTTCCAAGTTAGCGTTCTGAATTGATTCAGCAGAATTAATCTTCAAACACTCCTGCTTCTTTCTGCCAGATGGTCCCTTTGTAAGTTCTTTAGAGGATATTGGACTGGTAAAAATAAAGATCTTACTTTGTTAAGTGGTTATCCTATCATAAGAAGATCAAAATAGACACTGGTCGATTTTCAGACCAATCAATTGAACCCCCTTGGGCATAAGTGGGGAATATGAGCCATTTAATAGCTATTGGAGCGTTATAAAACTAAGAAACAATTTGTTTGGGTAAAGTTTATCTCCTTGTAAAAGTGATTGTTTCTTATTATAGTATTTAAGAGGCTGATTATGTAATCAGGGTAATATTTTTAGATGTGTTTGTAAAGCTGAAGTTTTGCTCTGCTGGCAAAAGAATCCACCCAAGTTGTCATGAGCAGAAGATGCTTGGCAAAAAGGGTTCAGTGTAGGCGCTCTTCTTTTCTCTTTTTGTGAGAACTACCATGATAAGTCATGTGAAACAAATGCTTAAGATCTAATTGTGTTCTAAGTGGCCCCTTTGAAGTGACTCAAGTTATCTCCCTTTTAGAGGAAAAAAACTCAGCATTAAGAATAATTGGTTAACTCGCCTCCAACAAGTTTTTCTAATCATAACAATGCACTTATAATAAAAAATAGGAATACTTTTGTATTCAGATGTCAAACTTTTCTTGGAGAAAAGGTTGGAAAACAGTATAGTGAGGGCACGGGAAAGGAAATATGCCTCTCTCGGATACTATAAATCTCATAGGACTCTATAATTTTGAACTAAATGTTTAGTTCATAAATTAATAAAATGTAAGGAACAAAATGGGAGAAGATGAGCAGTGACAATAAGTGCTTTCTGTATTTGTCAGGGTCCAATATGGAAAATAGAAACCACTTCAGGTATCTCAAGCAGAGAGGAATTAATGCAGGGAACTGGCTGAACACTTGTTGGAAGGATGGAGGACCAACTCAGAAAAGGGCATGTTACCCAGTGATGAGCGGCCACCTCTGCTACTGCCACTGTAGCCACTGCTGTTGGAATCATGCTGCTGAACTCCTGCTTCTGCTGCTGCCAGAAGTACCACCAGGAGGTAAGAGGAGGTGAGGTATTTTAGCTGATTTGCCAAAGACTCTTAGGTGAGATGCACACAGGGTTGGAAGAGTAATCTCAAGATGGACTGGAGGACAATAGCTCTGTATTTGCTGCAGACTAGAATTATGGAAGGAGGCAGAGTCAGTAATGACTGAGACATTTTTACAGAAAATTGTTGAATTAAGGATGTTGTAGCCCACCTCAAGAGTTCGGGAAATTAATTCATTTTGAAAATATAATCAGAATATGTTCCAGTTCACCAGCATAGGGTGGTTGTATTTCCTTTAGTTACAAAATGCAAGCCCCCTCACATGTCTGAAGTCTACTGTTTTCTTTGAGTCTCTCTTATCACATAATGCAAAGCTTAATTTTCTGGTCTATGAATTAGTTTTTGTTTTTCATCTGCTACAACTGTTTAGGAGAGAAGAAAGCACAACACATCCTTAGAGACTGACCTCCACATAGCTGACCCTGATCTGTCCTCTCTGCTTGTTTTTTTCTGTCTCCAGTATCTTTTTCTGTGAAAATATCTCCTTACTGTGCTATTCCATTCTCTTTTATATCCAACATATTAGTACGGAAGCCTGGGGTGGACACCACATATCCCGGCTCACACTATGGTGGATCTGGACCAAATACATTGACAACAGAAAGAAATGAAGAAATGCCAGTAATTTGAATACTAGCTTTCTTGTTTTTTGAAGGTGGTTGAGAGGTGGCTGTATGTAGAATGAAGGAATCAGCCATTTAAATTGGGTTGACTAATCAGTTAAATCAAATAACTACATGTTTATTTTTCTCCTCACCATGTTAACCAAGTGTTTGACAGAACAGAGTGGTTAATTAAATAAAATGGACATTTCAGCACTTAACTTTATCATACACGTTTGTTACTTAAAAAGTATTTTTAAATTGGAACCAGTGAATTACTGAAAATCGGTTTGCAAACTATTGCTTTGAAGAGCTTAATATTTGTCTAGAGAGTCACCTAAGATCTAGAAACTGGCTTGAAAAGCAGGTCATTAGCACCCACATTTTCTTTATGTTCTTCATTTATCTATCACCTCTTATCAACTCTTTAAAGTTCAATCATATCTTTTACCAGTATTTGGTCCTGCCTGTGCCTTCCTCTGGCTCCTACCCAGCTCCAAAGTTCTACTGGGTGATTGCAGTGCCTATCTATCAATACCTAGATCTGTTCGGCATCACTTTGGTCGTGAGGAAATGAGACTTTTGGTTAACCATTATAGAAAATAGGAGCTAGCACATTCTCATGTCTCTAATTAAGAGGCCCTTTCCTTTGTGTAGTCACTGGGGTTGACTGTGGCCTTGAGGGTCTATTGCAATTGAGGAAATCTTAGAAAAGAGCCAAATATGTTTAATTCTGTTCCCTAAGCATACCACCATGCCATTAAATGCTCATAGCACTTTTTTCCCCCACTAAGTCTCTTAAGAATTTTGAGTATCTACATGTTCTGAAGGAAAATTTCAACTGTATTTGGACCAAGATGCAAAATGCAGTTTATTGTACTTTCATCTCACAGTCATTCCATGAAGTTTGTGATTTACCATGTGGCTCCAAAACCAAATGCGTGGCACTGATGCATTGGGATTTATTGGTGAGACAGTGTGATATAAGCAAAGAGGAGAGTCAGGAAAAGCGGGGTGCGCAGCGCTTGGCAGAAGCTATTTACTAAGGGGGAATAGGCACACGGTAGGGTCAATAGTGGGCTTGGCTAATATCAGAGGTTCAATTAGGCAAGTAAGCCATGGTGATCAAGAAACTTGGATTCCCAGATATGGTTCAGGCAAGCATTTGGCACCTTATGTCTGAGCCAAAGAGGCAGGAGGCAAAAGGAGTATGGCGATGGGAAATATGTGTATATGCTTGGTGTGTGTGAGAGTTTTACATAAATAATTCATAATGCAGATAGTGTATGCCTAGATGACTGAGACTTAGCAGTAGAGAGAAGAAAGTTGAAAAGGCATGCTACGTGGAGGGTGTTTTATGCTTTCTGAGTCTGCGCTTCGACCTGGTCTAAGTTGTTTTCATCAGAAATAAATCACTACTGACATTTCATTTTTAGTCACAACTCTAAAATCTTATTCTACATTCTTGAAAAATCCTTGGTTTGGCAAATAAAAATTGGCAGCTACTATCTGTAGAAATCCATTCTCTTGAGGTGAAGTTGACAGAATCATTTAATATAAGCCCAATTCTCCCACACAGGAGAGTTGTGAAGATTAATGAAGCCATTTAAAAAAATTCTTTGACAGCATATTGTAGAAAAGGCTTTTTAGAAAAATATTATTAAATCTAGATTTTTGTGATAGGGACGTAATCTTTTCCTAAATAAATTAGAATCTGTCTGTCTATTCATCTCTCTATCTCTCTAATCTCTCTTCCCCAGAGGAATGTCTTTCACATGTATTTGATTTTTAACCTAGAGTAAGAAATATATTTTATTTCACATACTAGTGTGTGCATGTATGCACACCACACCTGGAAACGTATATTATTTGCACAACTGTGCTCTGTTCTATCAATTAAGGGGGAAAGGAGGTAAAACAGCTGGTTGAGCTACTAAATTGGTTTCATGGCTTTCTGGTTGCAACTTGTGGCTTAAAAAACACTACTAGTACATATCCTAAGTAAACAGATAAGCATTTAGAAATATCTATGCCAAAACCCTATGTAGAAATTATTCAAAGCAGGAACTCAAAGCACAAGAATCAGGTAATTGTTTAACTAGGCCAGAGTTGTTTTCTTCAGGGACCTGGCAGGGGCAGTAAAAGCCTATAACAAGCTGCTTCTAAGTTCGCCCTAATTGAGCACTGACTCCCCCTTGAGGTTTCTGATTGAACTTTTTTCTTTTTATTGCTGTGAGCAATACAGAAATTAATAGGCTAATTCCTGTACCTGGTCCATATGGTATCTTTTGACAAATAATAACATTATTATTTAAATGAGTGTTTAAAGAGACTAAAGTTATTTCATATGAGTTTTTGCAGTTACATGCATATTTGTGCTAGACGATAACTACACACTTAGTTCTAGTCCTTCTTCCATTGTTCTACAGAAATCTAGATGACAGTCTGTTTTCTGTCACCATCCAGCATTGAGAATCCCCAGAGGCCATTCAGGCATTTGTCTATGTTGGCACTGGGACATTTCCTCAAGTCAAAATGGAGAATTTCTGCCCATTTGCTTTCACTTTTTCAAAATGACTGGCCAGTTTTGTTGAAATAGCCTGACCTTATACTTTAATAATCACCTACACAGAAATTAACTACTGTCCCTGTTTCCTCAACTTAGGAGTTCTAAAAATCAGTATAGGCCGGGCAGGGTGGCTCACGCCTATAGTCCCAGCACTTTGGGAGGCTGAGGTGGGCGGATCACTTGAGGCCAGGAGTTCAAGACTAGTATGGCCAACATGGCAATCCCCCGTCTCTACTAAACATACAAAAGTTAGCTGGGTGTGGTGGCGCACGCTTGTAGTCCCAGCTACTCGGGAGGCTGAGGCATGAGAATAACTTGAATCTGGGAGGTGGAGGTTGTAGTGAGCTGAGATCATGCCACTGCACTTTGGCCTGGGTGATAAACTGAGACCCTGTTTCAAAAAATAAAATAAAATAAAATCAGTATAGCTCATACTGCACTACATGATTTTTATAACTTAAATTCTGGTTTCATTTTTAAAGAGCACTTGGTATTCAAAATCTCACACTGTTTCATAAACCTTTCAGCACAAATCTGTACAGGGCAGTGACATGCTGTTTTGATTGTGTCTCAGCTCATTTATTTAAAAGGCCTGAAAGTTTGTTTCAGCAGATTTCCTGCAGGTGTGTCTGATTACCTGGGCTCCACTGATTCAGTAAGATAAATGGAAAACTTAGATCTTCATGAAATAGGGGCTTAAGGGAGAAATTCTGCAATGAATTGTCGTAAGAAGGAAAAAGTTCCCCATCTCTAGATATACTTAATCATAGGCTTGCTGACTACTTGTTTGAGACACTTTGGGAAGGAGAGTAATGTAGAATTAGATAGCTTGTAAGGTCTCAGCCCATTGAGAAATTCTATGAGTTTAAATTATGTGAAAAGATTGTCATATTTAGCTTTCAGATCTATTGAATTTTCAGTGACAGGCATATGGGCTGGCACCCAATATAGTAAGTTATCATTTGCGAAGTCTGGGTTCAGTATGGTAGCAACTTCAGAAAATCCTTTGCTGAATTTGTTCTTCAGCTTAAAAACTTCAGTCACTATTCTTTAGCCTTTTTCTTCTTCCTTTTCCTGGGGTGTCAAGCTCTACATTTGCAGAAAAATTGTTAACGTTTAAATATTAGGGAATCCAGATAACATCAGGCATAAGCATTCTTTGAAGAATCTCTAATGGTTCTTAATCATTTTGGAATCACGGATGCTTTTGGACCCTGCCCAGAACAGTGCACATTGAATTTTACAGGCTTAGAGGATTCACCCCAGATTAAGAATCCTTGTAATGAGCAATAGAAATGATCCCTGAAAGTATCGAAGACCCGAAGCCATGAAACTACTAGAATAAAATATTGAGGAAATGATTTAGGACATTGGTCTGGGCAAATACTTTTTAAAATAAGACCTCAAAAGCACAGGCAACCTAAGCAAAAATAGAAAAATGGGATTATATCAAACAATCAACAAAGTGACGAGACAACCCGCAGAATGAGGGAGAAAATATGTGCAAACTACTTGAGGGGATGATGGATACCCGACTCTTCATGATGTGCTTATTTCACATTGCATGCTGTATGAAAATATCTCATGTACCCAATATATATATATACCTACTATGTACCCACAAAAATAAGTAAAATAAAAGTCTAGCGAAAAAATATTTACAAACTATTCACTTGACAAGGGATTAATGATCAGAATATATAAGGAGCTCAAATAACTCTGTAGCAAAAAAAGATCTGATTAAAAAGTGGACAAAAGATCTGGATATTTCTCGAAAGAAGACATACAAATGGCCAAAAGACATATGAAAAAAAACCCAACATCACTAGTCATCAGAGAAATGCAAATCAAAAGTACAGTGAGATATCATCTCATCCCAGTTAAAATGGCTTTAATAAAAGAGACAGGCAATAATGAATGCTAGAAAAGATGTAGAGAAAGGTGAAACCTCATACATTGTGATGGGAATGTAAATTGGTACAGCCACTACGGAGAACAGTATGTAGGTTCCTCAAAAAACTAAAAATAGAACTACCATACGATCCAGCAATTCACTATTGCGTATATATCCAAATGAAAGGAAATTAAGATATCAAAGAGACACTTGCACTCCCAAGTTTATCTCAGCGCTATTCACAATAACCGAAATGTGGAATCAACCCAAGTGCCCATCAATGGATGAATGGGTAAAGAAAATATGGCATATATACACAACGGAGTATTTTTCAGCCATAATAAATGAAATCCTGTCATTTGCTGCAACATGGATAAAACTAAAGGTCATGTTAAGTGAAATAAGCCAACCACAGAAACACACATATTATATGTTCTCCCTTATATATGGGTGCTAAAAAAGTGAATTTCATGAAGATAGAGAGTAGATTAGTGTTTACCAGGGAGTGGGGAAGGTAGAGGTGGGGATAAAGAAGAAAAGTTGATTAATGGGTACAGGTATACAGTTTGATAGATGAAATAAGACCATGTTAGATAGATAAATAGGGTGACTATAGTTTATGATAATCTATTATATATTTCAAAATAGCTAGAAAAGAATTTGAATGGTTCTTGCATAAAAAAGACACAAACATTTAAGGAGATGAATATTCCAACTACACTAATTTGATCTTTACAAATTATATTAATGTATTAAATTATCACATACATCTCAAAACTATGTGCATCTATTAAAAAAAAGAACCTTTGCAAAGAAAAATGTATTCTCTCCAGTGTCTCATATTCTTACTTTTTAGGGACTGCCAGGACACACCAACTAGTCCTCAAGTTATTCTCAAGAGGCATTGAATTTCTTTGTAAATGAAACACATTAATGGAAGTAATAAATACCATATCCCCTGCCCAACAATAACCAAATTATATTTACATTAAAATAATCTGAGAATGGAAAAGGAGTTCATCAAGCATAAAAACTGAGAAAATCACAAAGGAAAAAAGCTGATGGATATGATGTAAAAATATAAAAATAAAAGATGGGGCCAGGTGCGGTGGTTCACGCCTATAATCCCAGCACTTTGGGAGGCCGAGGTGGGTAGATCACTTGAGGTCAGGAGTTTGAGACCCATTTGGTCAACATGGTGAAACCCTGTCTCTATTAAAAATACAAAAATTAGCCGGGCGTGGTGGCACTCGCCTCGAATCTCAGCTACTCGGGAGGCTGAGGCAGGAGAATTTCTTGGTCCTGGAAGGCAGAGGTTGCAGTGAGCTGAGATTGTGCCATGCTCCACACTGCACACCAGCCTGGGCGACAGAGCAAGATTCCATCTAAAAAAAAAAAAAAAAGATGGTTCATCAAAGGACACCATTAACAAGATTAAAAGGAAAATGAGAAATTGGAGAAAATAATTACAGCCAACATTTAGTATATGAAAGGCCTTTTAAAATCAATAAGAAAACATTAAAAATGTAAAAAATGGCTGAAGTATATGAAAATATGAAAATACCATTTTTCCTACAGCAATTATTGACTGATTACCATGTGGCAGACACAGAGGGTCTTGGGATAGACAAATATCCTGTCTTCAAGGAGCTTAATTCACAGTAAATGAAAATGGTCAATTAACATATGAAAAATGCCTACATGTACTTAGAGATCAAAGAAATGCACAAAATTGTTGAGAAACAATTTTGACCTGTGATATTAGTAGAGAAGAAAAATAATAATACTGAATGGTGTTGAGAAGATGGGGAACAGATGCTGTTATCTGTTGCAGGTAGGTGGTTCCATGGTGCGTGGCAAAAGGTATTAAGAATTTTAAGAACTGGGTACTCTTTTATTTATTTATTTCTCTTCTATGAATCTGTCCCAAAAAAGTGTCAAAAACTCAGACAATACTTACGTATCAAAAATGTCCATTGCAATATTAGTTATAACCTTAAAAAACTGGGAGTAACCTAAGTTCTATTTAAAAATATATACCATCATTCAAATTGTGTTAAGGTAACCTATAGGCTTAGAAATAAAAAATAGAAACCATTGTGATTTTCATTTTACTTTTTCTTTTTTTATTTCTAAATTTCCTATTTTTTATTACTTTTGTAATGAAATGTTATTATGATAAAATATTAGCAATGATTATCTCTGGTTTCTGAATTAGGGATGATTTTTCTTTTCTTTTTTTGAGTTGTCTTTTTACAAAACTGACACATAGCAATTGTACATATAAATGGGGTACATACTGATGTTTTGGTACATATAATAGTGATCATCAGGGTAACTGACATATCCATCATCTTAAATACCTATCATTTCTTTGTGTTGGAAATATTCAATATACTCCTTCTAGCTGTTTGAAACTATGTAATATATTATTGTTAACTATAGTCATCTTACAGTGATGTAGATGTAGAACACTAGAACTTATTTCCCCTATCTAGACGTAATTTTGTATCTTTTAACAAATATCTCCCTATCTCTGTCTTCCCCATGCCCTGTCCAACCTCTAGTATCCTCTGTTCTACTTTTTGCTTCTGTCAGATCAATTTCTTTTAGTTTCCACATATGAGTGAGAACATGCAGTGTTTAATTTTCTGTTGTTGGATTATTTCTCCTAACATAATGTCCTCCAGTTTCATCCTTGTTGCTGAAAATGACAGTATTTCACTCTTTTTAATGGCTGAATAGTATTCCATTGTGTATATATGCCACATTTTCTTTATCCATTCTTCTGCTGTTGGACGTGTAGGTTGATTCCACATGTTGGCTATTAAGCATAGTGCTGCAATAAACATTAGAGTGCAGGTGTCCCTTTGATATACTGATTTCTTTACCTGTGGCCCAGTAGTGGGATTGCTGGATCATATGTAGGTCTATTTTTAGTTTTTGAGGAACCTCCAGACTGTTCTCCACAGTGCCTGTATTACTTGTTTTCCAAATTCTCTATAGTGAGCATATTCTTATACCTTTTATAAGTTCAGAGATAAAAAAAAATGTTATCTTTAAAACCCACATCTGGACTACAAGAATATATTTAAAAATGTTTTTCAAATAATGCCATCATATTATAATAATTATATGGAAGCAAGATAGAAAGTATTCATGTAGAGAAGACACCTGGTATTATAGAACCAACTCTCTTTAGAATCTGTAGTTATTTAGCTTGATAACATTCACAGGAATTCGATTCATTGAAAAAGACGACAGAACTGAGCATTTTCCACTTGATACCTAATCTAATTTTATAATTTTGAAAAGGTTATTCTTTGAACTTTCAAACATTCTTAAAATATGCTAGGCATTTTTGAAGTTCAGAAATTGGTTTACAGAAGTGCAGGCTTTAAGTTAAGCACTTGTATTATTTATTAAATACCATTTTCATAGATTTACAGTAAGGCATTTGAAGCCACATTAAATCTTTTTTATCTCATTTATTTATATTTTTTCACATGAAATCTTAAGGAATGCAAATTGGTTGCCTTTTAGAAAATCCTAAGCTCAAATAAAGGGAAAATGTCTGCAAGGATTTTAATACATAAATGATATGTCAGTGCTTTATCACTACATTTAGAATAAAGAAATAAAAAGAGGAGGTTTAAAGAGATTAAAACATGTTTACCTGAATGATAAACATGTTTTCTCAGTTTATATGACAAATCTTTCTATTTGTTAACATCTAGATAGATATCTTTCCACATCCATGTGTAACTATGAACATGCATATAAATATGAGTATAAATATATGCACAACACATGCACACAGACACTCCTCAATATCCCTGAGAGTATTCTTTGTCTCTCTTCCTTTCTCATTAATTCATTCCTTTATTTATTTCATTAACTGTTTCCTGAATACTTCTTATGTAACAGATACTTAGGTACCACAGATGCTAAGATGAGTCAGATGCATTCTGGATTTAAGAAGCTTACAATGTAGTATATAAGATAATTATGCAAGAAATATCACTGATTATACTATAATAGAGGGAGTTACAAAGTATTATGTAAGTACTAACAAGAGGATGGCTAACTTGGCTTGCTTTGGGGTTAGGAATAGAAGGAAATAATATTTAAACTTGGTGTAATGAGCAGAGGTTTGTTAGGTGGAGGGGAAAAAGCCCCCTAGATTTGTGAATGTATACCCCTCATGTAGGACTGACCAAACTACAGGGTGAGTAGAGGAGAATGGTCACCGTGGCTCAACAGTGAAAGGCTTTGTACATCAGGTTACACTGAAGCCTCAATTCCAGAGGCCTGGAGCATGACTGTGATCAAGCCCCAGAGTGTCCTTTGTCTCAAGGCCAAGGATCATCTTGTTGTTCTTCTGTTCCAATTATCACAGAGTGCTCCTTGCAGGTATACAATCAGTACCCCTCTGTGCAGAAGGCAACCCTCCATTCTTGCTGAAGAAGTGCTTTAAGTAAGTCCATTTTTCTCTTCAGGTGTACCTTTTTCAGAATCAAATAGTAAACAGTACTCACAGTGCTTTCAGGAGACCTTCTCATTTGCAATGATCTGGGAATCCCAAACTCTGTTAAAAAGCAGCAAATACCTACTCAGGCTGGCAACTGGGTCAAAATGTTAATTACTCTCCAACAATCACATTTTTTTTTTCTCTCTTCATTTGCTCTTTCACCTCTTCAGAGACTGTAATCGAGTTTGAATTTTCCTTACTGCTGAGACTACTGTGGTGTTAAAAAGAAGTTAGCCCTTTGCCTGTCTCCCGGGCACTTATGATGTCAGACGTCATTGGGTTCTCTCCTTTTTCAAGTTAATTACATTCAGTGTGAGTTTGAATTTTCAAATCCATCTGTTTTCCCCATCTCTGTAGGCAGTTTATTTATATCTACCCTTTTAAATAGAAAAGAAATAGAACAACAGCTTCCTCATACTTTAAGCATTTTCTGTTCGCTGCTATAGCTATTTCTTTTAGAATAAAATTGCTGGAAGTGAATTTGTTTCACAGCTGCTCTCTAAGTACTGATGAAAAACTGCCCAGTGCAGGTTGGGTTTCTCTTTGTTATCCTCTCCTATAGGCATCTATTACAATTTATAGACTTGTGTGTTTGCACTTTTAATGCTAACTGGACTATAAACTCTGTAAGGGCAGGAAAATGTTTTTTCACCAAGCTGTATCTGAAACATATTTTATATTCATGCTATAGATATTTATGGAGCAGCTAGCATATTCAAATGGAATAAATGAATGAATGAATGAATCAAGATTCATAATAACTGCATCCTTTAGAGGCTCACAATTTTTTTAATCACAAGGACTATTTTACTAATTTTTACTTACATGGATGCTATTTTGGTAACCTATACTATAATACAAATCACCCCAAAACTTCTGGCTTTAAAAACAAGAACGACTTATTATTTCTCACAATTTTGTGGATTGGTGGTTGATCATTTGTTGGTTACATCTGAGCCACTCTCATGGCTGTGAATGCTGGAGAGTCAGCTGGTCCAGAGGGTATCATCCACATGTCTGGCAGTTGGTGCTGGCTACCATCTTGGGTACCTCAGTTCTCCTTCATGTGGCCTCTCAACCCCAGTAGGCTAGACTGGCTTCATTATGTAGTGTCTCAAGCAGGTTCAAAAGGGCAAAAGTAGAAGGTTCAAGGAAGGCTCCTTGAGGCCTACCTAGGCTTTGGAATTTACATGGTATCACTTCTGCCATATTCTACTGGTAAAAGGAAGTTTCAAGGCAGTCTAGATTAAAAATAGACTACTTCTCAATGGGAGAAATTGCAAAACACTGTGGCTGTTTTTTCAATCAAGTATTTTTAAATAATGATGTTGATAATCATGATAATGAAGATGATGAGGGGAATGATAAGGACACTAAAAGTACTGAGTATTTGCACTATCCAAGGCATGTTTGAAGCACCTTAAACATCCATGTCTCACAACAACAGTTTGAAATGGGTGATGTTATCATCTTCAATTTACAGATAAGGAACTGAGTAGTTACTGAACTTGCTCAAGGTCTTACAGGCAGTAAGTAGCAATTTAGGGATGCAAACCCAGGTTTACTGGCTTTATAGCCTGTGGTTTTTCTCTCTTCTCCAACTTCTCTATATTCTTTATGCAATAATTAATCCCTGGCGTCTGTATTATACCTTTCCATGTCAACATCAGTCTTGATTTTAAGAAACGATACAAAACTATAAAGTGTTAATGATATTATAAAACTAGAAAAATTATTGTGTGGCTGGGTTGCTAATAAACAATATGGTTGAATGAGCATGTAGATATGTACACACTGTTAATTTCTACTAGTAGCCTGCCAAAAAAGTATGTTAAATTCTTTTTCTTTTTAAGATTGATCTAGAAACAGATGAGCAGAAACTCCATTTAATGAATACAGATCGCAGCTGGTCCTTCTCCTGGGTTCTTATGTTAATCAGTAGCTTTCCCATTGGCTAGAAATCTCAAAATGGTTTCATCATCTTCTCTCTTCCTCATTCCACACAACCAAATTTATTTTTGAAGGTTTCTCCTATCTCTTTCCTCCCTTGCATTTCTATTGGACACAACTTTTTTCAGCTTAAAGTGTGTTCTGTGGAACAGCAGCATCAGCATCACTTGGGAGCTTGTTAGAAATGCATAATCTCAGATTGCACCCTAGAGCTACCAAATCAAAATCTGCATTTTAACGATGCATCCACTGTGAAGGCTAAGAAGAAAAGTGGATAAGAGCATCAGCCTGGGGTTGCTAGCTGAGTGACCATGGGCAGGTTACTCAACCTTTCCAAGCCCTGGATTCTTCATGTATAAGATGTGGACAATAATGGTATGTAGCTCTGAGGGCTGTGCAAGGATTATATGAGATTATGCACATTGCCTGGTACACTGTATGCGCTCAACAAATGGTAGGTAAATGTATACACCTTTACTGTCATTGTGCTGGTTGAGGCATTATTTCCTGGCCCATTGTGATAACTTCCTATGATTTTCAGCCTCAGGCTCTTCCTGTTCTTTTCATCACACACTCTAGTGCCAGCTATTTCTAAGAGCACAGATCTGATTCTGATCCTGCACTCCTCAAAAAGTTTCAAGGCATCTCACTGCATTTATAAACCAACTTCTTGGCATGGAATCCACAGCCCCCTACTTTCTGAGTACAGCCTGAGAAAGAAGGATATGGTGGAAACCAGGGAGGGCCTAAGAGTCAGGAGCTTCAAATTTTTGCCCTTGTTCTGGCAACAAAAAGCTTTTTGATTTTGAGTTATCACTTTACCCTCTTTGGGCTCCAGTTTCCAAATCTATAAATTAAGTAGTTTAGTTAACAGTTTTTAAAAAAATATTTTCTTCTGTACAGGATGTGCAGGTTTGTTACATAGGTAAATGTGTGCCATGGCGGTTTGCTGCACAGATCAATCCATCACCTAGGTATTAAGCCCAGCATCCATTAGCTATTCTTCCTGATGCCCTCACTCCCCTCAACCTGCTGACAGGCCTCAGTGTGTTTTGTTCTTCCCAATGTGTCCATGTGTTCTCACTGTTTAGCTCCCACTTATAAGTGAGAACATGCGGTGTTTGGTTTTCTGTTCCTGCATTTGTTTGCTGAGGATAACAGTTTCTAGCTCCATCCATGTCCCTGCAAAGGACGTGATCTCATTATTTTTCATGGCTTCATAGTATTCCATGGTGTATATGTGCCACATTTTCTTTATCCAGTCTATCATTGATGGGCATTTGGGTTGATTCCATGTCTCTGCTATTGTGAACAGTGCTGCAGTGAACATACACATGCATGTATCTTCATAATAGAATGATTTATATTGCTTTGGGTATATACCCAGTAATGGGATTGCCGGGTCAAATGTTATTTCTGCTTCTAGGTCTTTGAGGAATCATCACACTGTCTTCCACATGGTTGAACTAATGTACATTCCCACCAACAGTGTAAAAGTATTCCCTTTTCTCTGCAACCTCACTAGCATCTGTTGTTTCTTGACTTTTTAATAATTGCATTCTGACTGGCATGAGATGGTATCTCATTGTGGTTTTGATTTGCATTTCTTTAATGATCAGTTGAGCTTTTTTTCATATGTCTGTCTTGCCTGAATGTCTTCTTTTGAGAAGTGTCTGCTCATGTCCTTTGCAAGGGTCTTACATCTAGTAATTGACCAGGGTGGAACTTAAACCAGGTCTACTGACACCAGGAATTCCAAAGCAGTCAACACAACATTGAAAATTGAGGAGAGGAGGCCCGGCGTGGTGGCTTACGCCTGTAATCCCAGCACTTTGGAAGGCCGAGGCGGGCAGATCACAAGGTCAGGAGATCAAGACTATCCTGGCTAACACAGTGAAACCCCGTCTCTACTAAAAATACAAAAATTAGCTGGGCGTGGTGGTGGGCGCCTGTAGTCCCAGCTACTCGGGAGGCTGAGGCAGGAGAATGGCATGAACCCGGGACGCAGAGCTTGCAGTGAGCCAAGATCGCGCCACTGCACTCCATCCAGCCTGGGTAACAGAGCGAGACTCCATCTCAAAAAAAAAAAAAAAAAAAAAAAGAAAAAAGAAAATTGAGGAGAGGAATCTCATTCCTTATTTCTTATTCCTGGAAATAATTTTGTCAATTGCTTTGGAACAGACTTACATATGGCATTTTAGATAGCTGTTATTAAAAGATGTCTAGTATATTTGCCTTGAATGTTTTTCAGAGAACTAGCAAATGTATTCAGTTTTATAAATTAGGAAGAACAACACATTTAATAAGCTATAGGAACCACCTGTAGTCTCAGTAAAAATCATATAGTGTTTTAGAAATGCTTTTTTCCCCCACTTCTGATTAAAAGGCTACTTTATACTTTCAAATAGGTTTCTGATAGAAGAGAATACCTTTGAAGTAGTATCCCAGAATTACACTCCCAGTGATGGTGTGGTGAGCCAGAGGTAGCTTTTTATCCTCAAGAAGCTCAAAGCTCTGTTTTCATAATGCAATGTTAAGTTTTTCTGTTGTTAAGGTAGCAAGTTCTTGTGGTTTTGCTGCTGCTGCAATACATTTAATTCAAAATTATTCCCATTTTTCTCAGTTCTTACATGAAAAAGGTAAACATTGTTTGTGAGATATTTAATCTATTTTGACCCTTTGATATGATTCACTTTTGTCTTTAAATTCAGACATTAATAGCAATGAAATCACTTAATGAAGAATCCTTTCATAAACTGATGAGATGAGTACATTTAATCTTAGAAGAAAACGTACTGACAGTTATCGATACAGTTTTTTTCCCCTCAATTCTGTGATGTGCATTCCACATGTGTTTCTGAGGGTATATCTATTAATGTGAATGTTGTGTTTTTACCTCCCAAAGCAGTTATTAAATTAATGGTATATTTTATGAATTATATTTTAGAATCAAGAAACCATTGTAGATTGTTCTCTGGGACACCTAATGGGTACAGTTGATCTACAGGAAGCATAGGAAACACTGGATTTTCAGTTCTTGAGATGAGGTAATGTCTTAGGCATTAAAAAAAATTATTCTCAGTGGAGCTCAGCACAGTGCCTTGGAGATAGAGTGTTCTGTAAATATGTGTTAAATGATGAATTTACAAACACAAGAAATCAAGATACCAATTAAGTATAGTTTTTTGAGTGGACTATAGCTACATCTCAACATTGCTAAAATGGCCAAATGGAAAAATCTGATGCTACCCCTGCTAAGGTAGAGTCATAAAGGAATTGTAACTGTAGGAAGTGTAGTGCTGTTCCTAACTTTAGGTGAGAGAGGAGGCGTTTTGTAGAATGAACTAAATTATTGGTGTAGAGAGCTGTCAACAAAAAATTGGGGGCAGTAAAAGAAAATATTGTTAATTTCTCTATTTTGCTTTGGGCTGATTCCATAGAGCTCTGTGAAGAGAACGGATAATTAATGTCTGCCATTCTGACAAGAAATCCAAGTAAATTCTGAGTCAGGTATTTCTTTAAAATTTGACAACTTTTAGAGCATAATTATACAATCTTGATTTACTCAGTAAACTTTTAAGTATTTGTTATAGCTATTAGCAACTGTATCAGTGTTCCACAAGGGAGGGACCATGGTTTGGTAGAAAGGACTCAGGGCTGGTTTCTAGCTGCTTTTTAGGTGTGGGTCTCTGGACACACAATGAACTGTGTTAAAAATAATTTGGTTTATTTGTGGCTCATTTTTCTCATCTTTAACACTTGACAGTCTCTAAAGTATGTTTCAGATTCAATGTTCCATGACCCTGTGACATTATAACCCACAAAAAGCAGTAATTTCTGAGACATAATACAAGAATCTAGGTTTCCGACAATTTGGTATGATAATGAGTGCCTTCAAACTACTGGCCATATTTAAGATACATTTTACTAATTCAGAAACATTTGCTCTTTGTTGAGGAGAAGCTATTTCTATTAAGAGAATATAAAATCCCTTATAGAAAATCTTAAAAGTAGAAGCTACAAGCCTGAGGTAAATTAATACATAAGCAATTTTTACTCATTCATTTTTATTAATTGAGATCAAAGTTTAAATGAGGCACCTAGAATTGAATAAGAATAGAATAAGGATACGATTATTATTTGACTGAGTGACAAATACCCAAGTATCATTATTAACTTCATTTGAAAGTAAACATGTATACATATCATGGCCAAACATAGAAAACACACAAAGAATCTCTATCAAATCACCTCTGTAAATCTGCATATAAATATGCTTATGCATAGAAACGCTATATAAAGGGACAAAAATAAATTTATTAATCACCCTTTTTATTTTCTACTTTGATTAAATGCTAAATAAAGCTCCTTACAACTCTTAGTAAATATAATTTAAAATAATTCACTGGCCAATTATTTGAGGACTATTGGGACTGCTACTAGAAAAAGGTCTGTGGTTTAAAGCTAAGTCTTTAAAATCATAATATTTTTCTGTATTAAAAAAACAATGAAAGTAAGCAATTGCTCTTCAATTATCACATAATAAGATGTTTCTGACCCATTGTGCTGGGTCTTCAGAAGTCAATATTATTCACTGAGCCCGGACTGTTGCATCTTAGAAAAGTGAGAATGAAGACCCCTGAAACTGTGGCCATGACACAGCTTCTTATTGACGTTTTATAGGAGCATCCAGCTGCATATGTAGGTCTCTAGACCTCAGCTATGGAAATAAAATGTTTCAGATGCTACCTGTCTCAGTGTGTAGTTCTCATGTGGTTTACAGAACCATTCATCCAGATATGCATT